>NC_000013.11:86252979-86556009 GCF_000001405.40 Homo sapiens
AGACTCGAAGGCTACATGATGTATGACTCCATTCATGTAACATGCTGGAAAAGGCAAAAGTATAGGAGCAGAAAACAAATCAGTGATTTCCAAGGTGAGATGGGAGCCTGCTTTGTGCCTTTGAAGAACTTAAAGGAGGGCATTAGTTGGCTTTTTAAAAAGAACCCCTATTCAGGAAAATAGAGCCAACAGCTGCAACAACAATAACAACAACAGCCAATATTTCTTGTGGATTTACTATGTCCTTGGCACTGTGCCATGTTCCTTATGTGGACTGAAGCATCTGATTCGATCTTCATAGGCAGGAATTATTACTCCCATTTTACAAACAGAAAACTGTGGCTCAGAAGTTACATAATCTGCCCATGGTTATTAAAACCCATTTATGCCTAGTGTTCCATTATTGGAACGCTAAGCACGTGGGAGTTATTTATATCCTACTGCTCAAAGTCGTCACCAAAGTCTGGTTGCAAAAATTCAAAAAATTACAATCTCAGGCATAAATGGGTTAATAACCTGACACGTTGGGATTCAAACAGGTCTGTCTGCTGCTAGAGCCCACATTATTAACAAATTGCCATAGGGCATGTTTTACCTGGAAAAAAAAAATAAGTCTTTGTCTTCAGCCACAACATTGAAGACAAGAAAGTTAAGGCCAGTAATGAGAACTTCAAGTGACCTTTCAGAAAAAATAAAACCTGTCGTGCTTAATAGCCCAGCCAGCTGCCCGACTTGGAGAAACCTCTCTCCCTCTCAGTGCTGAGCCTTAAGTTGTAATTTCCGCTTTTTGTAGAAAAATATGGGAGGAACTACAAAACCTTTTATTTGTATTGTTTAAAGATCCTTTCCATACGTGTTTGGTTTTTATCCTGAGCTGTTTTCATCATCTATTTTCTATCTAACTATGTAGGCCAGATCTTCTCTAAATAGAAAGGAGTGGTTTTTCAGAATAAAAAATAAAGTTAAATCAAATCAAAACACACCTGAACACCCACCACTTTTAACTGAGTCTTCTGAATGCCCTGCCTTTTAGACTGTCCGCTGATTCAGTGCATATTCTCCAGTGAAGTATAACACGTGTAGCGTGGAAGGCTTTCTCTGTGAGGCCAAACTGTTCTCCAAATGACTTGCGGTCTATGATTCCTTGTCAGTTAAGACTGTGAAGAGGCTGGGTGCAGTGGCTCATGTCTGGAATCCCAGCACGTTGGGAGGACAAGAAGGGAGGATCACTTGGGCCCAGGAGATCAAGACCAGCCTGGGCAACATGATGAAACCCCATCTCTACAAAAAATACAAAAATTAGCCAGGCATGGTGGAGTGTGCCTGTCATCCCAGCTACTCAGGAAGCTGAGGTGGGAGGATCACTTGAGCCCAGCAGGCGGAGGCTGCAGTGAGCTGTGACTGCGCCACTGCACTCCAGCCTGAGTGACAGAGACAGAGATCCTGTCTCATAAAAAAAAAAAAAAAAAGAGAGAGAGAGAGAGAGAAAGACTGTGAAGACTTGTAATAGGAGGTCTATAGGCAAAAATCCTCAAACTTCTCTGCTAGTGAAAATATTATTTAACCATAAGCACTTATTGTGTACATAGACACACACACACACAGCCCAAACCCAAAACCAAAAACACTATTAGAAAGACTATGAAATACAAAACAAGATGATTTTGGAATTTCAGAACGAACAGAGTACACTAACAATCAGATTAAAATAAAACAAAGAACACTTTCCAAATACTAGTGTTTCAAATTTTTTTTGCATATTTACACACACACACAAACACACACTCCTAAAAAGGCTCAGAAAAAATAGTCTAAGTATGTCAAATTTTAACTAAAGAAGAAAAGAGTAAAAAACATTATCATGGTGGAATATAGGTTTCTAAGTAAATAAAGTTTTTATTACTTTGTAAAAGCCATATATGTTCTTTGTAAATAATTTTAAAAATATAAAACAGAGAGAATAAAAACATCACTCCTTATCCTGCCACTGAACAATCACAATATTTTACATATGTCTTTGTAGCCTATTTTCTATATAAAGTTATTTTTTACATAATCATAAAATAATCTGCACGTGGCATTTTATTCATTTTTCACTTAGTAATACTATGGGCAATTTCCATCTTGTTACCATGACTGATGTTGATTATTTTTAGTGTTTAAATAATACTCTATGGATTAAATTCCCAATATTTATTTTATAATTATTATTATTGAATATTAAATATTATTGAATATTCATGTTTAAGATGCTGCATAATTTCAGGAAGAAAATGCAAATTCTTGATCAAGACAGTAGTGCTTCTATACGGTATCACCGATACACGCTCCATTGACTCATCCAGCCTCCAGCTAGCAGAGGGGTTTTAAAAACCATAGGCTAGGAGCTGGGTAGGCCAGCGGAATTTAAAAATATGTAGCAAGTGGCCACTCAACTACTATTTCCCAAGCTTCTCCAAGCCTCAGATGTCTAATACATATGGTTTTGAATGGTATCCCCGAGTTGTGCAGCGCACAGCCCACACAACTGAACAAACTGGTCCTCCCTTCTCATACCCTCTAGCATGGTGTCCTCACAACTCCACCCTCCCGAGACATGCATCACGCTCCCAATCCCTTCCTTCCTCTCTCTACTTTCCCATCAAAACCTATGGCTAAAGTACACTTGCATACATTGCTGGTGTGCATATAGATTGGTCTAGGGGTTGAACTCCAGCCTCTCTAGAGGGTAATTTATCAATAATGATCTGAACTCTTGAGAAACGGTGCTTACTCTTTGAGCTATCAATTCCAATGCCAGCAATTAATCTGGAGAAAAATCGGACAGGTGTGCAGACATATGAACGAGGATGCTTTTGGGTTTTTGGTTTTCTGTTTTTGTTTTTTATTTTGCTCTGTTTTATTTGAGAGACAGGGTCTTTCTCTGTCACTCAGGCTGCAGTGCAATGGCATTATCAGAGCTCACTGCAGTCTCGACCTCCCAGGGCTTAAGTGATCCTCCCACTCAGCATCCTGAGTAGCTGGGACTACAGGTGTGTGAATTTGAACAATAATGTTTTTCACTGAATATATAGGAGAGGAAACAAGAATGTCTAACCACCTATGATTAAGTTATGACTCAATGTATTCACTGGGTGTGTGTGTGTGTGTGTGTGTGTGTGTGTGTATATATATATATAAAATAAAATATAGGCCAGGTGTGGTGGCTCATGCCTATAATCCCAGCACTTTGGGAGGCCAAGGCAGGCAGATCACCTGAGGTCAGGAGTTCGAGACCAGCCTGCCCAACATGGTGAAACCCTGTCTCTACTAAAACTACAAAAATTAGATGGGTGTGGTGGTGGGCGCCTGTAATCCCAGCTACTCAGAAGGCTGAGGCAGGAGAATCGCTTGAACCCAGAGGCGGAGGTTGCAGTGAGCCAAGATCACACCACTGCACTCCAGCCTGGGTGACAGAGCAAAACTCCATCTCAAAAATAAATTTAAAAAATAAAAAAAATATATATATATACCATAGAAGAATTAAAATTTGTGAGGTACATCTTTGTGTGGCAATAATGAAACATATTCCCAATATATATTAAGGAGAGAGAGTAGGTAGGCTTAAAAAAGTGTTTATAATTGCAATTTTGTAAAAAATGTTTTAAAAATTTCCATATGAATAGAAAAAATTCTAGAAGGATGAATAGTATATATTTTTAAAAAGCTTATATGCATTGCTGGGCACGGTGGCTCATGCCTATAATCCCTACACTTTGGGAGGCCAAGGTGAGAGGATCCCTTATATCCAGGAGTTTGAGACCAGCCTGGCCAACATAGTGAGATCCCTTCTCCAAATTTTTTTTTTTTAATTAGCCGGGCATAGTGGCACATGCCTGTAGTCCCAGCTACTCAGGAAGCTGGGGTGGGAGGATTGCTTGAGCCCAGGAGATTGAGGCTACAGTGAGCCATGTTCACGCCACTGCACTCCAGCCTGGGTGACAAAGTGAGACACTGTCTGTCAAAAAAAAAGACCCCAAAACTTATATGCATTATCTATTTTTTCCACAAGTGATATGCATTACTTGCACAATTAAAAAATATATATACGTTTTAGACAAATTTGCTTGTTGGGGTAGGCTCTCCTCTCCAGCCATGGCCAAGCCTCAAGCTGACATAGGACAGTCTTTTCCTGGGACAAATTGAAATGGCTGCTCTCTACCATTGGGTCCAGATTTTCATTTTGTGCCAATATCCTCCTTTGTGTGCCAGTAATAAAAAGTCTGCATATTTTCATACTGAAAATTTTATTGTCAGGACTCTAGGCTGTAAGTGACCGAAATATATATATATATATATATATATATATTTTTTTTTTTTTTTTTGTGATGGACTCTGGCTCTGTCGCCAGGCTGGAGTGCAATGGCACGATCTCGGCTCACTGAAACTTCCTCCTCCTGGATTCAAGCGATTCTCCTGCCTCAGCCTCCCAAGTAGCTGGGATTACAGGCACCCGCCACCATGCCCAGCTAATTTTTGTATTTTTAGTAGAGACAGGGTTTCACCATGTTGGCCAGGCTGGTCTCCAACTCCTGACCTGAAGTGATCCACCCGCCTCAGCCTCCCAAAGTGTTGGGATTACAGGCGTGTGCCACTGTGCCCGCCCTGAAGTCCATCTTTAAGGGGATTCATTGGTATAGCTGAATGCAGGCCCTCAAACGACAACTTCAGGACCCAGCCCCTTTCTCTGCCTCTTACCCCTGCTTGCCTCTGTGGTCATTTTTCCAACAGGCTCTTCACACTGTGTTAAGATGGTGCTGACAGTCTGGCCTCACGGTAACCCCAGTGCAAAGAGGGCTGCTCTGTCCCAGCCACTCCACTGAGGATCCCAGAATGGAGTCTCACTAGGTCTGACTGGGCTGATTTCCGTCTGCTGCCCATCATGAACTAAGTCCTATAGCCAGAAGGATGGAATACGTGTCCAGGCTGCCACAGCCCCTCCACATCTAGGGTGAGATCTGTCCCACCCTCAACCTTGTACTCTGCTGATACCAAGCTGTTTCTCCTTGGGGGTTCCCTCATTTACCCTAGTTCGCCCAATGCACAGATTCTTATTGTTCTCTGCAAGTGGAGATCAGAAATCTCCGTTATTTTATTTTATTGGTTTTTTTTTTTTTTTTTTTTTTTTGCAAGGCCTCAAAGGGGCTGCTGCAGCAACCTGGCACTGTATTGTTCATCAAATAACGGGTAATGATTGATGGACTTCGTAATTCTCAGTTGTCACAATGCCTGGAAGGGGAGCTGATGTTGGGACGAGGGGAGGATTGCTAATGCATGCCACCCTGGGTGACTCTGCTGAGTTAGAATAAAACAAAACAAATGAGTAGAAGGCATAAAACACCACGGGCGCTTATTTAGACGGAATAAATATTCAGTGGATTTATCTGGTCTCTACTTCTAAAATCATTAAAGAAATTTCCATCATGATGGCCCATAAGAACCTTATATTTGAACTTCACAAGAAAGCAAGGTTTTTTTTCTTACCAATTGTATCCAAGATTTCATAAACCAAAGAACACCAGTGATGCAAAAGTGCGTGACTTATCACCAATCACACTTGGAAAAGGAGAGTTTTCAGAAGAGGACCAGAATTCATTCACAACATTAAAAACTAACACTCAGTTTTTGCACATTGAAACAATCTGACTTTTCTTTCTTTGTTTGAGACAGAGTCTCGCTTTTGTCCCCCAGGCTAGAGTGCAATGGCACGATCTTGGCTCACTGCAACCTCCACCTTCCAGGTTCAAGCGATTCTCCTGCCTCAGCCTCCCAATAGCTGGGATTACTGGTGCCCGCTACCACGCCCAGCTAATTTTTGTATTTTTAGTAGAGATGGGGTTTCACCATATTGGTCAGGTTGATCTCAATGGTCTCAAACTCCTGACCTCAGGTGATCTACCGCCTTGACCACCCAAACAATCTGACTTTTCAACCACTAGACTCGAATTCTGAATGAAGAAACAGGCCGGGTGCAGTGACTCACACCTGTAATCCCAGCACTTTGGGAGGCTGAGAAGGGCGGATCACTTGAGGCCAGGAGTTTGAGACCAGCTTGGCCAACATGGTGAGACACTGTCTCTACTAAAACTACAAAAAGTAGTCAGGTGTGGTGGTATGCACCTGTAATCCCGGCTACTCAGGAGGCTGAGGCAGGAGAATAGCTTGAACCCGGGAGGCAGAGGTTGCAGCGAGCTGAGATCACGCCACTGCACTCCAGCCTGTAAGACAGAGCAAAACCCTGTCTAAATAAATAAATAAATAAATAAACGAACGAACGAAGAGAATGTCCACTTCTACAGAAGTGCTTAATGTGTAGTCATAAATATCCAGGACCTATTTAGAATGCTAATTCCAAAATCACAGCTACCAAGAATGGTTCACTACAAATAGCCTTTCAGATCACATGACATCTCTGTTACTGCGGTTGGTTAAAATATATTAATATTTTTATGAGACGTCTGGCTAGTTTTGTGTTAGATGGGTGAAGATGTCAGATTTCTGGATTTTAAAACTTCATGGCATGAAGATTATTCAGCCTTCAAAAGGAAGAATATTCTGACACATGCTACAACATGGATGTAACAACCTTGAGGACATTAGGCTCAATAAAATAGGCCAGTCCCAAAAAGACAAACACTATATGACCTCCTTTATATAACATACTTAGAGTCGTCAAATTCATAGACAGAGAATACAATGGTGATTGCCAGGGGCTAGGAGGAGGGAGAATGAGAAGTTATTATTGAATGGGTACATAGTTTCAGTTGAGAAAGAGGAAAAAGGATATGGATGGTGGTCATGGTTGCATTATGTTGTGAATGTACTTAATGCCACTGAAATGTACACCTAAAAATTAAGACGGTAAATTCTGTTAGGTACATTTTGCTATACACACACACACACCAAAAAAAAAAAAACAAAAAACTTGTAGAAAGACTCTATTTTTCCTTCAGGGCATTTGAGAGAATATAAGTAAAAGTTTTTGTTGCTGGCAAATCTAGTAAAACCTACATGGCAGTGGGTAAGGACAGAGTAAGGAAGCTTCGAGATTCATTTCGTGAATTCCCGAAAGTCCCTTCTGCTAGTCATAGGACGTTTACTTTTTACTGCCAAAACCAGGTCAAAAATCAAGAACTTGTATCGAAAGAACACATGGTCAAAAGGAATAAAAGGATGACTTGCTTTATATTTTTCCCCATAATATTTGTTCATTTTCTCTTATATAATTCACATGACACAAAATTCACCCGTTTAAAGTTTACCATTCAGTGGTTTTCTTATATTCACAAACCTGTTCAACCGTCACCACTCTCTAAGTCCAGAACATTTTATCACTCCAAAAAGAAGCCCTGTAGCCATTTGAAGTCACTGATTCTCCCCTTTCTCCAGCCCCTGACAACCACTAATCTAGTTTCATCTATAGATTTCTCTATTCTGGATATTTCATTTAAGCGGAATCATTTACATGTAAAAATGCGAACTTTTCTCTCTAGCTCCTTTTACTTAGCATAACATGTTTTTCTAGTTTTTTTTTTTTTTGAGTCGGAGTCATGCTCTGTCGCCCAGGCTGGAGTGCAATGGCGCGATCTCGGCTCTCTGCAACCTCCGCCTCCTGGGTTTAAGCAATTCTCCTGCCTCAGCCTCCTGAGTAGCTGGGATTACAGGCGCCCACCACCATGCCCGGCTAATTTTTGCATTTTTTTAGTAGTGATGGGGTTTCACCATGTTGGCCAGGCTGGTCTTGAACTCCTGACCTCAGGTGATCCGCCCACGTCGGCCTACCAAAGTCCTGGGATTACAGGCATGAGCCACTGTGCCCGGCCTCGTTTTACTTAGCATAATGTTTTAAGGATTCACCCGTTTTTTAGCATGTAACAGTATTTTCTTTTCATATATGAACGTACCACATTTTTTTTTTCTCCTTTCATCAGTTGATGGGCATTTGAGCTGTTTCCATTTTTTGGCTACTACGAATAATGCTTCTATGAACATTCATGCACAAGTGTTTGTGTGGACAGATGTTTTTTAGTTATCTTAAATATATACCTAAGAGTGAAGCTGCTGGATATAAGGTGGATACTCTATGTTTAACTCTTTAAGGAACTGCCAAACTCTTTTCCAAAGTGGCTGCACCATTTTACATTCTCATCAGCAGTGTATGGAGGTTCCAAGTTCTCTATATTTTCACCAACACCTGTTATTGTGTTACTGTCTTTTTGATTATAGCCATGCTAGTGGATATGAAGTGATATCTCATTGTGGTTTTGATTGTATTTCCTTATGACTAGTGATGTTGAGCATCTTTTCATGTTTATTGGCCATTTGTATATATTCTTTGGAGAGATGTCTACTCAAATCCTTCGCCAATTTTCTAACTGGATCATTTGTACTTTTACTGTTGGGTTGTGAGAGTTCTTTATATATTATAAATACGGGACCTTTATCGAATGCCTGAACTTGCAAATATTTTTTCCCGTTCTGTAGGTTCTTGTTTCACTCACTTCATGATGTTCTTTGAAGCACAAAATGTGTTTTTAATTTGATGAAGTCCAAGTTATCTATTTTATTCCTTTTGTTGCTTTTGCTTTTTGTTATATAAACTATTGCTTAATATAAGGTCATGAAAATTTACATCCATGCTTTCTTTTAATATTTTTATAGTTTTCACACTTTCATTTAGATATTTAATTAATTTTGAGTTAATTTTTTGTATAAGATATGAAGTAAGGGTCTAACTTCATTCTTTCGCATGTGAATATCCAGTTGTTCCAGCATCATTTGTTCAAAGGACTATTCTTTCCCCCATTAAATGGTCTTGGCACCCTTGTTGGAAGTCAGTTGACCATAAATGTAAGAGTTTGTTTCTGGACTCTCAATTCTATTCCATTTATATACACATTTATCCTTATGTTAGTACTACTCAGTTTTGATTATTGCACTTTGCAGTAAATTCTGAAATAGGGAAAGGTGAGTCCTCCAACTTGGTTCTTCTTTTTCAAGATTGTTTTGGCTGTTTTGGGTCCCTTTGCATCTTCATACGAATTTTAGGACTGGCTTGTTAATTTCACAAAAAAAAACAAACAAACAAAAAAAAAAAAAACCCAACTGAGATTTCGATAGGCATTGTGTTGAATCTGTAGATCAATGTGGGGAGTACTGTTATCTTAACAATATCAAGTCTTCCAGTCAATGAACACAGGATGTCTTTCCATTTGATTAGGTTTTCTTTAATATCTTTCAATGTTTTGTAGTTTTCAGCATGCAAGCCTTGCACTTCTGTTAAATTTATTCCTAATATTTTATTCTTTTAGATGCCATTGCAAATGGAATTATTTTCTTAATTTCATTTTCAGATTGTTCATTGCTAAGTGTATAGAAATTCAGTTGATTTTGTATACTGATCTTGTATCCTGCAACCTTGTTTATTAGTTCTAACAGGTTGTTTTTAGTGAATCTTTACAATTTTCTATATATAAGATCATGTCACCTATGACTGGAAATATATTTACTTTTTTGTTTCCAATCCAAATGCTTTTATTTCTTTTTCTTGCCTACTTTTCCTGGCTAGAACTACCAGTACTATGTTAAACTGAAGTGGCAAGAGAGGACATCCTCCTCTTGTTCCTAATCTTGGAGGAAAATATCCAGTCTTTCACCATTAAATGTGATGTTATCTTTGTGGTTTTCATAACTTTATCAGGTTGAGGAAATCCCCTTCTATTCCCAGTTTGTTAAGTGTTTTTGTCATGAAAACATTTTTAACAAATGCATTTTCTATATCCATTGAGATGATCTCTGGTTTAAGTTCATTTTTAATTAAACAAAATCATACTACATTCTCTTTGTAAAAAAATGTGTTCAGTGTGGCCGGGTGCAGTGGCTCACGCCTGTAATCCCAGCACTTTGGGAAGCCGAGGCAGGTGGATCACCTGAGGTCAGGAGTTCGAGACCAGCTTGGCCAACATGGTGAAACGCCCCCCCCGGTCTCTACTAAAAATACAAAAATTAGCTGGGTGTGGTGGCAGGCGCCTGTAATCCCACCTACTCGGTAGGCTGAGGCAGGAGAATCGCTTGAACCCAGGAGGTGGAGGTTGCAGTGAGCTGAGATCACGCCACCGCACTCCAGCATGGGCAACAAGAGCAAAACTCCGTCTCAAAAAAAAAAAAAAAAAAGGTGTTCAGTATACATAAGGCTAGAGTCTTCCTAGTTCTTTCCCAACTGCCCCAAGGTACTCACTGTTGTCAGATTGCTGTTTCCTTTTAGCTAATTTCCTATCCGTGTGTGTGTGCATGTATTCAAAATATACAATATGCTTTAACAAAAAATGGCATAATAGTATTAAATTAAATGCGGCCTAAACCTGCCTCCATGGATCATAAACTGCAATCTACGAGAGTACATTTTTGTAACAAGTAGCTGAGTCTCAGCCAATCACAGTAGACAAGCTTCAGTCAATTGCAGGCTGCCAACTGATGAGACCACGTCCATATTAGGCAATGCCAAGCTGTAACCAATCAAGCTGTTTCTGGATGTCATTTCCACTTTCTGTCTATAAATAAGGCCTGCCTAGGTTGCTGGGTAGAGCTCTCTGAACCTCTCTCCTGGTTCTGAGTGCTGCCTAATTCATGAATTGTTCTTTGCTCAAATAACTTCTGTTAATTTTGTCTAAAGTTTTTCTTTTGACAATGTATGTATGCTGTTTCCTCTCCCCAGAATACCCTCTTGGTCCCAGCTGACATACCAGTGCCCACCTCCTCTTTAAAACTCAGGAAGTCCCTCTTTTCTGTGGTGCCTTCTAAGGTCATCCATACATCAGGCATCTTTTCCTTCTAGTGATGGCTCAAAATTGTTCCCCCTTTTGTAGCCCCCTCTGGTTATGATTTTAGCAGGGGAGGTGTTTAGATTTGAACAGCCTGAACTTTCATACAGTATACACTGATACCCCCCTAAACATCTTTTTAGCTATAAACACATTTATAGCTATTGTGTGATGATGGTGCTATAGCCACAGTTAAATTTCGAGCCACTTTGACATCTGTTTATATGGCAGCGTTTGTTGGTATGACAAGTAGAATTCAGCTGTCTTACAGACTGCTTTATGCTGTATTCATATCACTAAGAACGAATCCCAAAGCTCCTTGTGTGTGGAAGGATGAGGGTGGGTGGAATCTTACCATGGGAGAATCAGGGACAAACAGTTCCCCTTTTACTGTTACATACTGGTTACATACTGGGCTTCTGGGTATGATTTCGTTTGACAGCACACACCTGTTTCAAGGACGGGCTTGAAAATGACTATCTTATTGCACTTTGCTCTTACCTTTTCTTTATTGAGACAGAGTCTCACTCTGTCACCAAGGCTGGAATGCAGTGGCACAATCTCAGCTGACTGCAACCTCCACCTCCTGGGTTCAAGCGATTCTCGTGCCTCAGCCTCCTAAGTAGCTGGGATTACAGGCATATGCCACCATGCCCAGCTAGTTTTTGTATTTTTAGTAGAGATAGGGTTTTACCATGCTGGCCAGGCTGGTTTCAAACTCCTGACCTCAAGAGATCTGCCTGCCTTGGCCTCCCAAAGTGCTGGGATTACAGGTGTGAGCCACCACTCACAGTCTGCTCTTAACATTTCATAAAAATAGAAAAGTAAAATTGCTGATTCTAGTGTAACAAGTATAAGTCTCACAAATCAAAGATGGAATTCAAGTAGTATCTGAACGCCAGGAATATTTTGCTTTGGTTAGACATCCCTGGATGTAAGCTAACCTTCTGGTGTTCAATGAAGAAAAAAGACCACATTTATAAAATATGTATGAAATACTGAAAACCTACATTATAAAAAACTATGTCTAAATCACGGGGAATAATAGGGGTTTCTGTAACAGGGTGGTTTTTTTGTTGTTGTTGTTGTTTGTTTGTTTGTTTGTTTTAACTCTTTGGGCATAGACTTCTCCTTTAATGTGCAAATATGTTACTTAACTTTCACACTTCCCTTTAGCCCATGGTTTCTGGAATGTACCATGTACAAAAGGAATGGAATAACTGGACAATATTGACTCATACAGTAAGCTCTTGTGTTCAGGGACAGTTCCACTAATGGGCATGTAGCAAATATTTGTTGATTAATTGTAGCTTGTTAGGATTAATCCAACTTCTTAACTGATAGCTTTTTGCTGGTGTGTTTTTCAGAGTCTCTTTTTCCTACACCAGCTGTGTATGGAGTATGAAGAGCTTTGGCCTCTATGGAAATCCACTGGGACCTTTCCCTCTGGCAGTGTTTGCCACTGCTGATGTTAAATGTAAGCTCATTCCATGATATCTGATGCTCAGATTCAGGGAAAGTCATCTTGCTACCTAGAATGGGAGCTTCATGGAAGCTTGTTAACATTGATACACTAATTGCCAAATAATTGGAGAGGTTGTATACTTTTTGGAATGAGATACACATGCTACTCTCATATGTATTTGGTGAGAACTTCTTCCACAAGACAATATTATCAGGAGTTTTTTTTTTTTTGAGACAGGGTCTTGCTTTGTCACCCAGTTGTCACCCACGTTGGAGTACAGTGGCACAATCATATCTCACTGCAGCCTTGACCTCTTTGGCTCAAGTGATCCTCCTGCTTCAGCCTCCCAATTAGCTGGGACTACAGATGCCCACCACTGCACCTGGCCCATTTTTGTATTTTTTTGTAGAGACAGGGTCTCACTATGTTGCCCAGGCTGGTCTCTAACTCCTGCCTCAAGAGATCCTCCTACCTTGTCCCTCCAAAGTGCTGGGATTACAGGCATGAGTCATCTTGCACAGCCAGGATCAGGAGCTTTAAAAAAAGCTTACCTTTTCATCTAGAAATTCCACTTCTAGGATTCTCCTATACAAATGAGCAGACGAATGCGCAAAAATGACTGCACAAAGGTGTCTACTGCAGCATTTATTACAACAATAAAAAATACTGTAAATAACCTCAAAGTCTCAAATAGAAAAATGGTTAAAAAAGACAAGTTATAAAGGCAGAGGCTATTTTCTATGTTAAGTATTTATACGTCACTATGTGAATTCAGATTTTTAAAGTTTGTAGTTTTATACCAAAATGTTAACAATAATTATCTTTTGGTGACGGAGTTATCAGTGACTCAAAAATTTTTATTTATTTTATTCGACTTACGTGAATTTTCCAGTTTTTTTTTCTAAAATGACAATGTAGTTTTTTCTTTGTATATATCAATACAGGCCAGTCAACCCAACTTTAAAAGGTTAAGACAGTACTTTTAATAACTACAAAATAAGTTTTGGTAAAAAGTCTTTGTGTTTTTTTTTTTTTTTTTTTTTTTTTTGGAGACAGGGTATCTCTCTGTCTCCCAGGCTGGAGTGCAGTGGCACAATCCCCACTTACTGCAACCTCTGCGTCCTGGGCTCAAGCCATCCTCCCACCTCCGCCTCCCAACAGCAGCTAGACTACAGATGTGCGCCACATGGGCTAAGTTTTGTATTTTTTTTTCTTTTTCTTTTTTCTTTTTTTTTTTTTGGCAGATACGAGGTTTCGTCATGTTGCCCAGGCTGGTCTTGAACTCCTGGGCTCAAGTGATCCTCCCACCTTGGCCCCTGCAAAGTTCTGGGATTACAGCCATGAGCTACTATGCCCAGCCAGTTTCAGTAAAAATTCTAAATCACTTTTTAAGACCCATTTTACAGAGAATCGTATTTCTGAGGTCTGGATGTTAGCTATAATATCCTGTTCCTAACTCATCTAAGGTTTACCCTGGACCCTCCACCTCACAAAAGTTCCCCATTAAATCAAATACCACAGTCGCATATGATTCTTACCACACAGGCTCTCCAGAAGGATTGAATGTAGAGGGCTGCTTCCTCTTCTGTCAGCAGGAGCGAGAGTGGGATTGGCGGCCGTGGGCTGAAAAGCAATAAAATGGTTATATGCCCATGAGAATCCAGTCCTTCAGCCTTGGCATTGCCTTTGACAACATAATGACCTCTCTGATTAAGTGCTTCATCCATCCCCTTTCTTAGCAGGCAACAGTGTCATTTTAGATAGAAAAGTGTATGCTTGAGTTAGCATTTATTATTTTAAACTCTGGGAAGGATTTTTTTTAAAAAAACAGCATAATCTTAAATCATTGTTAGCCTATTCTTCTTTTGAAGGACTCAGGCTGCTATTCTTGCATTTTAGTCCTGAAGGTGCAACATACATATTACTGACATGAGACTATTTGGATACAATGCAAGAGACAGAGGAGCAGCCGCCTTTATGTACTGCAGTATGACTGAGACATAATAAAGAGCTCTTTCTCCAACTTTCCATTGAAATTAAGGACTGCAGTTCCTCTCTTTCCTGAAAGGAATACTGGAATTTATCTCTGATTAGTATGCATTCCAGGTTAATGTGGTTTAAATTCAAGCACATTTTTAAGTTCTGCTGTTGTTACAGAAACATCAAGGGTTTGGTGTAGGTCTTGCTGCTCACCACACAGAATGCCAATTACTGAACTGATGAGTATTACCAGGGAAGAAGGCTCTAATCTTAATCGAGTGCTGCAGCCAGGAGGAGATGGGATCAGTCTCAAATCCACCTCCCAGACAGACAAAAACTAGGGGTTTATACAGCAGGGAAGAAATGTGACAATGTGTAAGAAAACAAGAACTAGGGAGGAGCAAGGAAGCAATCATGATGAATGAGGGCTCTGGCATCTCATTGTCTAGATGTGGTGATCTGATGAGTTTCAGTTCTTTGATCCTTTTTTTTTCTAAGAGGCCTGGGGGTCCTTCCCTGAGGAAGGAACTCAGATAAATTAAGTTTTAAGCTTTAAGACCAGAAAAGTCAATTTCTATGTTTATCTGAAAACAACAACAACAACAAAAACTATGGGACGATTGGGTTGGTTTCACTGCTTCTTCTTCTTTTTTTTTTTTTTAAAGATGAATCTGCTGTGGATTATTGTTTCTGCTTAGAAAAAAATACTTAAACAGTAATTCTTAATAAGAAATAAAATATCTCAAGTGCTGGATCAGTTGATAGTGTCTGCTCTTGTGGGATTTTTCATATCATGGGATTTTTTTAAAAATCAAAGATACCACATTAAAAAATCAAGACTAAAAGTTTAACAGAGGCACTAACCGATGACAAGGTCTTACAAATCTGTCTTAATTCAGGTTCTTTATGTTTCCCCCAAAGTAAAGCATAGCTACGTCTGAAAAGCAAAGGCCAAGACTGTTCAGATATAAAAGAAAGAAACCCTCAAAGGACGTGGATCACATGGAGGCTGCTCCCAGTATAGCATCCCCAGAAATGACTTTGCAAGTAAGGGACTCCCAAGTGCCCTGGCCTCAAAACTCTCCCAAATAACAGCTAGAGCTTACAGTAACTCACGGCACAGACAGGTTGACTAACCTGCCCAAGGTCACACAGCTTGTAGGTGCCTAGTGAGGATCTGGGCCCAGATCCATACAATCCCAAAGCCCAAGCATCCCTTATCATGGAGTGCTGACACACCAAGCCTCAACTGGGCAAACATGCAGATGCCCGGCCTGCCACAGACTGCAAAGCTAACTGGCAACAGTGCATGATTCTCCAGGATACAAGGGTTTCATTTCCTTCCAAAAACTCTGACTTAAAAAAAGAAAAAGAAAAGCTTGATATAGTCTATTTGTTTAAATGAATGAATGCTCTTTTGAATTCTTCCAGAACCAAAGAAATCAAAGCCACAAAGAACACAGAAGTTATCAGCAGTTGAGTGCAGTGCTTTTGCCAGGCTCTGATTTTCTGGCTGGACAGGTCCTTTCTAAGAGACCAAGTAAAGGGGATTCTTCCATTTCTTCCTTTTTCTTTCCTTTCTTCCCTTCCCTTCCCCTCCCCTCCCCTTTTCTTTCTTTCTTTCCTTCCTTCCTTCCCTCCATCCCCCCTCCCTCCCTCCCTTCTCTCTCTCTCTCTCTCTTTCTTTCTTTTCTAGGTGATTCTTCCATTTCTTCCTTTTTTTCCCCTTTCTTTCCGTTCTTTCCCTTCTTCCTCTCTTTCTCTCTTTCTTCCTTTCAATGAAGTTTCACTCTGTCCCCCAGGCTAGAGTACAGTGGCATAATCTCGGCTCACTGCAACCTCTGCCTCCCAGGTTCAAGCGATCCTCCTGTCTCAGCCTCCTGAGTAGTGGGACTACAGGAGCACGCCACAATGCCCGGCCAATTTTTGTATTTTTTGGTAGAGATGGGGTTTCACTGTGTTGGCCAGGTTGGTCTCAAACTCCTGACCTCTGGTGATCCACCCACCTCTGCCTCCCAAAGTGCTGGGATTACAGGCATGAGCCACCGTGCACAGCCTCTTTTACATTTTTTAAGTAAATTTTCTTAAAACTGTAGAGACAGGGTCTCGCTATGTGGTCTCCAACTCTTGGCCTCAAGCAATCCTCCCACCTCGGCCTCCCAAAGCACTGGAATTACAGGCATGAGCCACCCGCCCCACCCGGGCTCCCTGTTTTCCACATTAAATGTCTCTCCTCATCCATATTTTAAGTTCAGTAAAGGTTTTTCTGTGCATAGTGAACAGTATCTTAACTGGATGTGTAAACAGACTGCAACCTACTCTTGTACCAATCACCAAGTTTCAGCCAATTAAAGGTGGCCAACTGTTCAAACCATACTCAAATAAGGCAAACTCTGAGCTGGAACCAATCCAGCAGTTTCTATACCTCACTTCTGTTTTCTGCATGTCACTTTCCTTTTCCTGTTCATAGACACTCTATGACCATGGGACAGTGCTGGAGTATCTCTGAATCTAATCTTGTTTGAAGGCTGCCTGGTTTGTGAATTGTCTTTTGCTCAATTAAACTCTGTAAAATTTAACTGTAGAAAGGTTTTTTTCTTTTAACATTATTAATCTGAAACAGGATGGCAGGGTTTAAAGATGGTGGTGGTGATGGTGGCAGTGAGGATGATGACTGCTATTATATTGATTGTAATTGCTTACGTGTGTGAGTATGTGTGCATGCCTATGTCTGTGTAGTTGTGTGCAGGTAGGAAGAGAGAAAGAACGGGGAAAGGAAAAGGAAAGAGGAGAGACATAATTTAACAAATGTCTTGTTTTCCAACTGAAGAAAGAAAAACAAGCATTGCTGAGAATGCTAGCAATGTTGGGATTTCTCCTTCCTATTTGCTTGGTGTCTCTGCCTCATATTTCTCAATCTTCCCTTTTCAGGGGAATACAAACAGCCAAGACCTGTGGAATTTACATATGTAGTTACACTCTTCTCTCATTTCTAGTCCTACAATTACAACACTAATTCATATTCTTAGTTTTATCTCACCGGGACCGTTGCAATAGTGTCTTAAATAGTCTCCTTATGTTCAGTCTCTTTTCTCAAAAGCAACACATATGCTGTGTTTTTATTTACTTTGGCTCCTTAAAAGTTTCCCATTCTTCAATGATAGGTGCTTAGGCATTTGAGGAACTCCATTGACTAGCTTATGTGGTTCCAATTGTCATTTATTGCTATTTTACACATAGTTTGTGTCATTGATTATTTTTGCCACTGACACTGGAATTTTCAGACTATTACTTTTCTTAAATTTCTCATTTCGGCCCATAAAATCTCTTCCTTTACCACTATCTAGTAAAAATTATTACAATCACTTATATTTTCAAACACTGTTTCTCCATCTAGTCTGTGTGAATCTGAACTTATAATTTTTTCTTCAGATCATAGTTTTATGCAACTAATAATAAGGTAACCTACATAATAACTATATGTGTGCTTCTTATTACCTGCCTTAGTCTGATAAGTTACAGTTTAAGAGTAGATAAATTTAAAGTCTTTTAAAATTATTTTATTAGCCTTTAATGTTGGTAAGGAATAATTATAAATGTCAGTTTGATCAACTTTTGCAGATTCATTAAATTTTTAAAAATCTTGTGGATTTTAAAGCAAGTGCTAATTTATGCAACTCTCAAGTAATTGTTTTATTTGGGGGGAGACGACATATTCTTCATTTCTTAAATTTTATATACACATTTTGATAACTTGGTAACCTATAAAAAGCAAAAATATCAAGTAAGTCCTGAAACTACAGCATATTATTACTGTAGAATATAGTTTTACTGTGAAAAATGAACAGAAAGTACTAAAAACACAGAGTAACTTAAAAGAATGCTAATATAAATGTATTTACAACCTACAAGTTGTAATCCCTTTTGATTACATTTGAATATGGTTTGAACACAGCAACTTAAAAGAATGGTAATATAAATTTATTTACAACCTATAGACTAATCCAATAAAACAGTTAAAAATATTTAAACATAGCCTTATCCAGTTTTGTTTTTTGTAAATGCCAAAGGCTTAGTGTTTCAAATGATCTGCATTTTCAAAGATCAATATTGCTATTTTCAATTTTTTATATTTATCTAAGTTCTAACTATAGTATATAACATTTACATGTGTGGCAAACACTATTTTAGAAGTTGGAACTTTAAATATTAACTCTGTTATTTTATATATTAGCAGCAACTAATTCTAGAAGTCCCAAAACTTTTGGAAACTTATTTAGAGATGCATATATATTTGAAAAAAAAATTAGAAAGTTTTAATAAAAGCAAAGATTAATTAGTCTTTTATCTTTTAAAGGATTCACAATATATAAATTTTATACCCCTTCAATATTATCTTCATTCTCATAAGAACCCAGGAAATAAAGTATATCAGTTGTGAATATATTGACATAATAATAATGATAAAAAACTAATATTAATTCATAATTTAATATATACCAGCAATTTTACTATGCTTATGACATGAATAACTTATTTAAAACACTCCCATTTTACAGTTGAAACCATGAATGGTTCAGAAACATGCCTGACTTAAGAGAGTGGAATTTGGCTGGAATTCCAGGTTTGACCTTCTCCACTGCCAGGGTTTTAAGACCTACTGGTGCTTCACAGACCTGCAATTACTTTTTATTAAATTGCTAAGTCCATGCCTATGTCTTTGCATTTTGATCTGCATTTTATATTATTTATCATTTATTTTCGGGGACTTCAAAGTGTAAAGCGCTTATTTTAGGCCCTGCAGTGGGAAGGAGACATGCAGGTTAATTTTTCCTGCCACATTTATCCTACACATTTCTGAGAGACAGAGCAAAAGCTGTGAAGGGGGATCCAAAGTGTCAGGAAACAAAAGCTTACATCAACAGTAAAGACAAAGAACAATAAACTATGAATGTAGGTTTATTCAATACATTCGCCTGACAGATTTAATTTCTGCTCATTAGAATTGTATTTATGATGGTAAAATACGACTTTGCAATATATTTTTTATAAGGTAAAATGCACAAAAATTTTATAGTAGATATTTTTGTTCTCTTCTAGGACTCATGCTGTTTATGAATTTATAAACTATTAAAAATATTAAAACATGTTTAGTAATTCATATTCTATATTATTGTAATTTTAAGTATTTTGGATAAGAATTAAAAATATTCATTTGTTAAGCAATGACTTATTTCTGTTTGCAAAGTTTTAATAAAATGCAAAACCATATTCAGGAAAGATGGTTTAAAATTTTGCAGACACTTATCACGTGATGGTGCAGAGATGCTATTACTGTAACTGTGATTGCATCCTCTACACAATTTCACCAAATTCTGATTGTTAAGTCTATTTGTGTCTTTTTTATTTCTTCCTTACAACAGGTAAGCTAATCTTGCCATCTCTTTGTCCTTTGCCTACGAGAATGTTTGGAGTCTCTCAAATTGAATCCAGTTACTTCGTAGCAGGTCCAGCCTTGTCAATGCCAATAAACATGGTCCAACAAAAAGGAAATAAGTAACACGGTCAGTCTAAAGAAGAAAACTGGCAGGTCTGCCATGCATTTTATGCTGACCACTGCGCTTCTACTAATTTAGACTAAAGTCACATGAACTACTTCGGCATTTACGTCAAAATGTTAAGTCATTGATGTTTGTGTCAACTGAAGTCCATAAGAATTTTTGTTTTAATATAATCTGCTGTTACGGCCATTTGGTTCTTTGAAATTAATTTCATGGCTTTCACTTGCAGTTATTAGAGGTCACTTGTCAGATGTGGTCTATTTTTCTAGTCTGTCAAAATCATCTTTGTGTCACAATTTTGTTCTCTAATGTTTCATGTTAACAAAAATATATCTATATGCTATCTACATGCTAAAATTAAGCCAATGATAAATATATTCAATAAACAAAGGTCAAGTTTAAAATATAATTTATTATTATTTTGAATACCCTTATTCAAAAATTACATCCACAGTTTAAAAATATTTTATTACTGCAGAGCAAGCACCATGTTAAGCATGATTTCCCCTTGAAATTAAATACCCTTATTCAGAAAACATATATATATACACATATTCATTTATATTGTATGTATAGTTCTTGTTCTATCATATATTTAGATAGTTTTCAGTATTTCCCAAATAGGCTTACAAAATATTAGGTTTATTCCATCATTTTTGTCATAAAATCCTTTTAAAATGATATTTAAGAATGTATCAATGTTAACGCTGTCTGATAATGAAACCATTATTAGTTACACAAAAACTTCATGAAGATAGCTAAACAGACAAACAAACTCTCCCTAACTGAAGTAAAAACTAACATACAAATTGATGCTAAAGTCATGAAAGAAAAAGAGATGACCTATGCAAAGGAAATCGATGCTCAAGATTTCTGTAAGTCTGTCAGGTCAGAAAATAGAACATGCAGCAAACATGAAAATGAACCTTCTTCTACCTTTTATAGAATATGTTAGTTCACTGATGTTGAAAGAACAATATATTTAAATTAGTAACATCAATACTAAATAAAAAATTCTGTTGATTATTTTATTTTTTAAATTAAAATGTTGATTAAAAGCATCAATTATTTAAAATAATAGTAAAATTAGTAGACAACCCATACAACATATTTTACAATTGTTACGTATCTTATTTAATAGATAGGCATGGGCAAGGACTTCATGTCTAAAACACCAAAAGCAATGGCAACAAAAGCCAAAATTGACAAATGGGATCTGATTAAACTAAAGAGCTTCTGCACAGCAAAAGAAACTACCATCAGAGTCAACAGGCAACCTACAGAATGGGAGAAAATTGTTGCAACCTACTCATCTGACAAAGGGCTAATATCCAGAATCTACAATGAACTCAAACAAATTTACAAGAAAAAAACAAACAACCCCATCAAAAAGTGGGCAAAGGATATGAACAGACACTTCTCAAAAGAAGACATTTATGCAGTCAAAAAACACATGAAAAAATGCTAACCATCACTGGCCATCAGAGAAATGCAAATCAAAACCACAATGAGATACCATCTCACACCAGTTAGAATGGCAATCATTAAAAAGTCAGGAAACAACAGGTGCTGGAGAGGATGTGGAGAAATAGGAACACTTTTACACTGTTGGTGGGACTGTAAACTAGTTCAACCATTGTGGAAGTCAGTGCGGCGATTCCTCAGGGATCTAGAACTAGAAATACCATTTGACCCAGCCATCCCATTACTGGGTATATACCCAAAGGATTATAAATCATGCTGCTATAAAGACACATGCACACATATGTTTATTGCAGCACTATTCACAGTAGCAAAGACTTGGAACGAACCCAAATGTCCAACAATGATAGACTGAATTAAGAAAATGTGGCACATATACACCATGGAATACCATACAGCTACAAAAAAGGATGAGTTCATGTCCTTTGTAGGGATATGGATGAAACTGGAAACCATCATTCTCAGCAAACTATTGCGAGGACAAAAAACCAAACACCACACCTTCTCACTCATAGGTGGGAATTGAACAATGAGAACACATGGACACAGGAAGGGGAACATCACACACCGGGAACTATTGTGGGGTGGGGGCAGGGGGGAGGGATAGCATTAGGAGATACACCTAATGCTAAATGACGAGTTAATGGGTGCAGCACACCAACATGGCACATGTATACATATGTAACAAACCTGCACATTGTGCACATGTACCCTAAAACTTAAAATAAAATGTTAAAAATAAATAAATAAATTTATACGTAATTTACCATACTAAAGAATGCAGCGCTAAGTGAGAAGCAACTGAAAGAACTAAGATCAAATGTGATAGTTAAGACTAAATATAGATTTGGGGAGCTTCAAGTCAACAATAAAGGACCAAGGGTTCCGAGCGGCCTCGTTAATTGACGTGAGCGAATTCAGATGTAACTCAAGCTTCATAGAGGGCTTTTCAAAAATAAAAAGCTGATTCCGTGCAAGAGAGCAAAGTTGCTGCTTACTGTTCAGAGACTTACAGGTGCTTGCCTGCATTGCAACAGGGACTCATTTATTCAGCAAGACTTATATTTTTCTCTTCATTTTGGAGAGCCTAATAAACTGTTATTAGAACTTCTCTACTGACTTTCAAAATTTTGAAGTTTGAAAGACACCTTTGCAACTAAAACAGCATGAGCACGGCCAGAACAGAGAACCTTGTTATAATGGGTCTGTCCAGTCAAAATGGTCAGCGGAGGGGCCCTGTGAAACCCATTAGTGGCCCTGGAGGAGGGGGCACCCAGACACAGCAACAGATGAACCAGCTAAAAAACACTAGCACAATCAATAATGGCACCCAGTAGCAAGCACAGTGTATGACCACCACTATTAGGCCTGGTGACGACTGGAAAAAGACTATAAAACTCCCTCCAAAGGATCTAAGAATCAAAACTTCGGAAGTGCCCTCCACACTCCAAACAAGAAAATGAGTTTGAAGATTATTGTTTGAAACGGGAGTTACTGAAGGGAATTTTTGAAATGGGCTGGGAAAAGCCACCTCCTGTTCAGGAGGAGAGCATTCCCATTGCTTTATCTGGTAGGCATATCTTAGCTAGAGCAAAACATGGAACAGGCAAGAGCAGAACCTACCTCATTCCCTTACTTGAACGGCGAGATCTGAAGAAGCACAATATACAAGCAGTGGTGCTTGTTCCGACTAGAGAACTTGCTCTACAGGTCAGTCAAATTTGCGTCCAGGTCAGGAAACACATGGGAGGGGCCAAAGTGATGGCAACCACAGGAGGAACCAATTTACGAGATGACATAATTAGGCTTGATGATACAATGCACGTAGTGATTGCTACCCCTAGGAGAATCCTGGATGTTACTAAGAAAAGAGTAGCCCGGGCGTGGTGGCTCACACCTGTAATCCTAGCACTTTGGGAGGCTCAGGTGGGCAGATCACGAGGTCAAGAGATCCAGACCATCTTGGCCCATGTGGCGAAACCCTGTCTCTACTAAAAATACAAAAATTAGCTAGGCTTGGTGGCGTGTGACTGTAGTCCCATTTGCTTAGGAGGCTGAGGCAGCAGAATCGCTTGAACCTGGGGAGGCGGAGGTTGCAGTGAGCTGAGATCATACCATTGCACTCCAGCTTGAGCAGCAGAGGGAGACTCCATCTCAAAAGAAGAAGAAGAAAAAAAAAAAGAGTAGCAAAGGTTGATCATGTCCAGATGATAGTATTGCATGAGCAGGCAGATAAGTTGCTGTCACAGGATTTTGTGCAGATAATGGAGGATATTATTATCGTGCTACCTAAAAACAGGAAGATTTTACTACATTCTGCTACTTTCCCTTTTAGTGTACAGAAGTTCATGAATTCCCACTTGCAGAAACCCTATGAGATTAACCTGATGGAGGAACTAACTCTAAAGGGAGTAACCCAGTACTATGCATGTATAACTGAGCTTCAAAAAGTACACTGCCTCAACGCACTTTTCTCCAGGCTTCAGATAAACCAGTCGATCATTTTCTGTAACTCCTCTCAGCAAGTTGAATTGCTAGCCAAGACTTCTCAACTAGGTTATTCTTGCTTCTATATTCATGCTAAAATGAGGCAGGAACATCAAAATCGTGTATTTCATGATTTCCGAAATGGCTTATGATGCGATCTTGTTTACACTGATCTGTTTACCCGAGGTACTGATATACAAGGTGTGAATGTGTTAATAAACTTTGATTTCCCAAAGCTCGCAGAGACCTATCTCCATCGTATTGGAAGATCAGGTCGCTTTGGTCATCCTGGCTTAGCCATCAACTTGATCACATATGATGATCACTTCAACCTGAAAAGTATTGAGGAGCAGCTGGGAACAGAAATTAAACCTATTCCAAGCAATATTGACAAGAGCCTGTGTGGGGCAGAATACCACAGCGAGCCTGTAGAAGATGAGAAGCCTTAAAAAGCATGCTTTGACAAACTACAGACGGCTCGTTTGGATCTGTGACACATCGTTTTGAGGGGAATGCTCTTCTCCTTGTGGGTTTTTCATCTTTTATTTTGGAACTATGAAGACTTAAAAGAGCTGAGACATTTTTTCTTTTTTAACTGGTGATGAGAAAAAGGCTGAGAAGAAGGAATATACCTTTTTGGTTCCACTTGTTTGCACTATGTGCTGACTGAACATTAGTTGCACTAACTACTGGTTTTTAAAAAATGTTTTCTGGGGAAATGGGACAAGGAAGGAAAAGAAAGGAGAGAAGGAGAGAAACCCTAAAAAGAGAAGAATCTTGATGAGCACACAAGTTTGTCTATGATTTCAAAATTCTCCAACAGCTGACTCTCAAGTGCATTTCAACTTCTCCTGATTACTCAACCGTTTTGTAAACCTGAAGAGCTTATTACTTATTTGTGCGAAGTGCCTTATGCTGTGAGACCATTCAGAATATCATCTTTCAGACCTAGCCCAAGGAATCAACAATAGTAACTCTTTCCTTTTTTCTTTTTCTTTGAAAATATTTTGTCTTTTCATTTTAGTTTCAAGTTGAAGCCTCTTCCCTTTCTACCCAATACTCAAGCCCAGGGCTGGAAGATAAAACTCATTAGTAATTTTAGACACCATTTTTTTTTCTTTATGTGGAGGAGTTGATATACAACTGCAGTTCATCCACACTGTAAATACATGTATTTTAAAAAAACAATCCTGGCTGGGTGCGGTGGCTCACGTCTGTAATCCCAGCACTTTGGGAGGCCAAGGCCGGTGGATTGCCTGACCTTCGGAGTTCACAGCCAGCCTGGGCAACATGGTGAAACCCTGTCTCTACTAAAATGCAAAAAATTAGCCAGGCATGGCAGCATGCACCTGTAGTCCCAGCTACTTGGGGAGGCTGAGGCAGGAGAATTGCTTGAACCTGGGAGGCGGAGGTTGCAGTGAGTGCAGATTGCACCACTGTACTCCAGCCTGGGCAACGACTGAGACTCCATCTCAAAAAAAAAAAAAAAAAAAAAATCCCAAGTAAAAAGTTCTTCTGGGCTGAGTAGATAAAACATCATCACTCCCAAAGCAAAGAGCAGTCTATCATTGCAGGAGCCATATGACAAGACTTTGTGCTCTACAGCAGACACTAAAGACTGGTATACACACGCCTCCCATAGCAGTATGGCGCTTGATGTGTAGACATGTCAGAGCCTTGACCCCCTTTCCTCTGTGGCAAAGCGTGTCCTGTAGAAAATTCGGTGTGTATACTTGTATAGACTTCGTAAATAAGTTTTTTTCTTCTGGGGATAGATAGATAGATAGATAGATAGATAGATAGATAGATAGATAGATAGATAGATATTTTGGATGAAGGTTGCTGGGATTAAGGAGATTAGAGTGATTATAGGAACAGCTAAAGATGAGAGGGGCTCAGTGTTATGCAACACAAATTCTAGAAAGTACTTTGGCCTCTTGCTGTAGAGAGCAGATTTCTGTGGTACCCTGTGTTAGTAAAGGGCCCCAGAAATCTGGGATGTACTCTTTGCTGCCACACTGTCTCATCTAGTACCTTTGGAGTAGATTTACCAGAGAGAGCAAGGAAGCTTCAAAACATTGATAGTTCAAGATTTTTTTTTTTTTGAGAAGCTCTGATTTTGCTTCTTCCCACTTTCTAAAAGTTTGAGGAATATTTGAAGCTCTGCAAACGGGGGCAAAGATTAATCTGCCTTGCAGTGTGGGAATTCTGTTGAATGGCAGTGTCATTGAGCAATATATATATAAACCGCAGATTTGCATTTCAGAATATTAGCCAGTACCAGCTTTGGTAACGTTAGCAGTTCTGGAGCGTAATTTTCTGTAGATCATTTCCTCTAGTGTGTAAATGTGTTGCCCTCTGCCCACCTTGATACATACTCTTTTGCAGGAATGGGCAACCTGAGAGCTGTTAACTTGTTAACTTTCATGCTACAGAAAGCTGCTTGTCATTCTCTTGCATTGTAATAAGAATTGTTGTCTGTCATTTTGTACTGTAAATTGCTGGTAAATGCTTTACAATCAACAGTGTTGCTTTAAATTGTGCCCCTCCCAACATGCTTGATGTTTGGCCTGATCTCCAGGCAAAAGGAGTGAGATGAATGAAAACCAGTAAACTGTTTTTTTTTTTTTTTAAATGTTTTAGTTCCCTTTTAACCCAGTGTACTAGGTCAATGAGGAGGCATTGGGAAAGGGGTAATAGTAACAATGCTCCTTATTATGAGGGACCAAAAAAGAAAAAAAAATAAGAGTCCAGGCTTTCACCTAGTCCTTAGAGCATCTTTCCATTTAACAATTCCTATTAAAGAGTCAAGCACCAAAACTAGACTGCTGCCTCTACAAGACCGTGTCCAGTAGTGGTATCCCAGATAGTTCAGATGCCACTCCTCATTAGAGGTTTTACTTCAGTAATATTTTCAATTTTGGTACTTGGTTTAATTTTTTAATTTTTTGGTTTTTTGGGTTTTCTTTAGTAGATGTGGGAGAGAGGGTGCTTTGCCCCAAAAGGGAGGGTGTCTGCACTAAGAATTTAGAAACACCTTGGAAGCTCATAACCTCATCAGAAACTGCCTTTAGCCACACTCCTGAACTTCTAGATAAGAAACAAACAATGAAATAAGTTATTGGGAATTAAGCCATGTTATTTTAATTTGCTATTTTTTCAACATTCGAGATATCTCTAAATTTGTTATTGTGGAATCATTTTCTTACCAAATATCTTTATCAAAATTATTGGCCTCATGACAGCTGAAATAAGTCAGCTTTTTGGTGAACTTTAGCAGACTTCTGTGGAATTGTAGTTGTAGTTTATATCTCTAAAGATAGTTTTTTAAAACTTCTAAAGAAAATTTACTCTACTTTCTGATCTAAAAACTCATCTTTCAGGTAAAGAGTTAAGTGTCCAAAGGTTGTCACAATTCATGGGGTCAGAGGGAGCTAGACTGGCACCTGGACTCTGCCCCTCCACAGCTGATAGATTACAAGAGAAGTGCATTTAAATTCTCCAGTAGACAATACTGGGCAAGGGAGGGAGTAGGGCTGGGTTATTAAGACACAGGCTGCTGTATTTTAACCATTGGTTGTGGGGGATGGGGTGCCTGGAGAAAACAGTCACTGTTCCCTTTTTGGAAATAAAGGAAAAAAATTATTTTTTGTTCAGTAAAAATGGTAGAGAATTCCAGTATCTCTAGCCACAAGGGACCAGTTCTACTAAGAAGTGAAGAGTGGGAACTCAAAATTTCAGAAACATTGGGGAAGGGAAAATTGGCTTTTTGTTAATTGGCAGATGTTCCATTGGCGCTCAGTTTTTGTTGGGATGTGTTATGTTGTATGTACACATATATGGACCAGAGTCTGCTGAATTTATAAGGTTCAAAAATTATGGTAACATCTTGATTTTTGTTAATTTATCTCAATAAAAGCCCAATGGAACTCCAAAAAAAGAGAATAAATATAAATAACATTAGATAATAAACCGACAATAAATGGCACAGCTTTTTTTAGAGTGAAAATATAAAATATTGTATTTTTATTGGTGAAAAAATAAATAAACCAGTAATTTCAATGTTAGTATGAACCTGATTCAGTAAGGCCAGAATATTAAAAAAAAAAAAAAAACACAAAACAATATCAATGTTATTTTGAACAGAAAGATGTATTAGGGAAATAAATTTAAATGGAATAATGAAGTTTACAGTAAAGGGCATAATTTATAATGAATTTATGAGTTCTGATTTTTTATAAATTTGAACAGATGGATCAAAAAATTTTCAACAAACATACTATAAATTATTGGAATAAACAAATATAACAACAAACTGTCTTTATTAGGTCCATTGAATAATAGAGAACATGATAAAATTTAACCAATATAGTTTAAAACATTGGTTTTATGTACATGTCTAGTTATATATTTACACATGAACTATATACATATATACATATGACATTTGGCATGTAAAATTATTTTGTATTTGGTTCAACAAGTACCAATATTATGACTGCATTATCTGTTCATATTGAAATATGAATGTTTAATAATAAAATGTTAACATCATCTCCTTAAAAAAATGCAACCATGTAAAGATAAAGGCAATATCCAAAATAATTATTGCATTAATCAAGGGCTTACATATCCAAAAAGCAAACAGAAAGATAGCAAAGCAGTACTTAGAGGAAATTTATATTATTTTTTAACAAAATAAGTTAAAAAAAATAAGCACTGAAATACTAAAGCTAAAACATAATAAATAAATATTAGTTCCATAGAAAGAAGGAGATAATACAAATAAAGAGGGACAAATTAACTAAAAACTCAAAAGAGAAAAACAGATTTTTAAATCTAGGGAAATAATATTTTAAAATATTTCAATGGGAAAAATTTCAATAAGAATGATCAAAGAAAACTAAGAAATGATAAGTGTTGACATTAGAAAGGAAAAATTAATACAGTCAGAAATATATAGTGTATTTAAACATTTAGAAAATATTGTCAATATCAGTATGCTAATAATTGTAGTGCCTTTATAATTAAACATATTTTAGAAAAATAGAAATATAGATATGTACCTCCCAAAAATATGAATAACTAAATGTTTTCAAGAAACTCAAACCTCTCGAAATGTCACACTCTTTTCTGTTATTGTCTCCCAAATACCAAGTTCTGTGTGTGAGAGTTAATATATCTATTAGAATTTTTATTTGCCTTTGGCTTTTTTTACTCTTTCTCTTTCCGTCATTTAATATTATAACCTATATGCTGCTAGGCTTCTTCTTTTTTGTTATTACTCATCTGAAAATCATGGATATTTTTCCTAAATGTATTATCATCTATTCAATGCATTTTGCCTGTTTCTGTAATGTCCCACATTAGTATACATACTAAAAGCATTTTATGTTAACTTATATTTTGAAATCTGCTGGAATATGAATTTTCTATACCAGGATATCTTATAAATTTCATCTATCTTGTATATTTTTCTCCTTCTACAGTATAATTACACATTCTCAAATATTAAATGTACACAACACTAATGCAGATCAGGAAGAGACGTGATGAATAAGAGTAGAAAGCCTGATGCAAAAAGGTATAAATGTAGGTAACCTTTTTAAATTTGTTAAATAAAACATGTGATAGTCCTTATGAATAAAAATCACTATGGTCATCCCTGGAGAATATCATGTAAGCTAAATAATTCTCTAAGATATAAAGAAGATATGTTTCATAACTTAAATGCTCTCAACAGAGTGATACGAAATAAACCACAAATGCCCACTTACAGGACTTATCTATTATTCTGGTCCAGAAAGCATGACTTTGATGTGGTGAGAAAGGATGTGGGCAGTCATGCAGCATGTCCCAGACCTCAGGAAGTTTTACTCACTTGTGTACTTTTTGTTTTACTGGTAAAGTTTGACTCTGGGAAATTAAAACAAAACAAAACAAAACTACTATTCATACTATTCAAACCCAGTGGCTTACTATAGGCTTTTCTGGGGGAAGAAAGCCATTTCTAACGAGTATTTCACACAAAAATACTTTCCCCATGTATTCATTCAAATTCTAAGACTGAATTTATGATTAAAATTAAAAAAAAAAAAACGCCAAACCCTGTATGACTTTGGTTCCATATACTTGTGGCAGGATAAATTAAAATTACTAAAATCATTTTATCTTTTTATTTAGAAAACATTTTATTAAGAAATTTTGTTCACTTGTTAAATAAAATTTCAGATTTAGTTTAAAAGAGCGAGATACCCAGGATTTTGAAAATGCTTCACTGATGCGAACTGTAAAATAAGACCTCAGCTAGAGTCAGTCATCCGATTGAGACATTTTTCAGAAATATATACATACTATTTTATGGTCATTACATAAGCAGGTTGTTTTATCTTCTATTGCAGCTTCATTTTGCCCTAGGGAACCCAGCTGCCAGAAAATGTGTTATGATTACATGCATGTCAAAAAAGATAGTACACACTTCACTAAAATGTACTCATTCAAAACATTCATTTGGCAACCTCCAGCTGCTCCATATTTAATACAACCTTGAAATTACCTGCTGTATTGGAAATTGAGAGCAAGATTTATTTCAGTGGGAATATACAACTAATTGGATAATACAATTTTCTGTTTATTATTTTAAATTTTAGTAACAAACCACTTTTAGATAGGTTATTTCCTCTAAAAAGGAATTTACTACAGTCAATTAGAATACTGTGATGTAGCCATAGTGATTTAAAACCATGAATAATTACATTTGGAAAAAACAAGACATATATTGATTCTTTCAGTAATACTTTACACATGACTAAAAAAAATTGTTATGAAAGTATAATGAATTTCCTTTTTATTCATTTTTGTTATTTTGACCAATCATTTGTTCATGAGTAAGCTCTAGAAAGCTTTTCTTTTTGTCAAGATGCATTCAAATAATTCCAGAAATCATCATCTAGCCATTAAAAATTTATATAATACATCAACAATAAAATATATCTATTCATTTCAAATCTCTTCTTGACGGTTATGCTAAAAAAGTAAAATATACGGCCGGGCGTGTTGGCTCACACTTGTAATCCCAGCACTTTGGGAGGCCGAGGAGGGCGGATCACCTGAGGTCGGGAGTTTGAGACCAGCCTGACCAACATGGAGAAACCCCGTCTCTATTACAAAAAAAAAAGAAAAAAAAAAATTTAGCTGGGCACGACGGTGGGCGCCTGTAGTCCCAGCTACTAGGGAGGCTGAGGCAAGAGAATCGCTTGAATCCGAGAGGCGGAGTTAGCAGTGAGCCGAGATCGCAAACTTATTTGCACACTGATTAAGCAATTTATGGTTGCAAATTCTCCCAGAACTTTTAGGTAATTTTTCTACATATTTTTAAATGATCACTCCACAGTGGTTTTTTATCAATATTTGTTATCACTATTGGAGAGATCATTTGTCCTTATTCTGCAAAGCTGAATCCTGTATGCCAAATGCCAGCATCCTACACATTAATTTAGGCAATTTTAATACACATTTAAAAAAAGAAAATTATATTTACATCAACATTATACATCTTCCACTATTTCATAAACATATCACATATAAGTAGAAAACTGTCCAATATTCTTCTCTCTAGAAAAAACTGTGAAAGATCTGGACTAAAAATTCAATATCTAGCCTCCTCATAAGTTAATACATTAGCTGAGGAAAGATACTACATTGATTTAGCTTGAACTTTCTTTCCTCTGCCAGGCACTTTAGGGATTAACTATTTTATCATTCGGTCTGGGTTTTCCAATTTTTTCTTTCAATATCATCACACTTCATGGCGATTTGTTGACAGTGGTTTATTCTGAACCACTTTTTGAATTCCCTTTGATTCAACATTTGACTCCCAAGGTTTCTAATACTATTCACCTATCACATACCACTTTGCCCTGATCTGTTCTAATAGGTCCATAAGATAATTTTCAAAGAAATCGGATGTTATTCCCGAAATGGACTTCTGCCTTTCCTATTTGTGAACAGTTAACACGATTCCACATATAAATTCAAAAGCACATTTGGAAATAATATTCTTTTAATTAGATGTTCTGCTTACATGTATGCACCTTCCTGAGCTATTGAAACGTAGAAAATCCGAATCTGAGGCAATAGCATGCAAGTAAATGGTAGCAGAATATAAGTGACATAATATAGTCAAGCAATGGTCATAGTATAATTTAGCCTAGGTATAGCTTGACATCATTTATTTGAATTTTCTAAGTAATTAAAATATTTATTTATTGCTGGATTATTTCATTAAGGGCCCATATTACCACAAATAACATTTGTTTAAAGCATACTCTATGTAAATCCTTGATTAAAGATTTAGAGAAAATAGGATGGCTTTTGTATTTCACAAAAGATCTGATCTAAAGGGATCATAACACATATTCAGAAACAAGTACAAAATATTACCATTGCCAAAATAAAAGATTTACTGAATTATAGCATGGATTTCTGAGATGTCATTCCATGGAGAAATATCTTTGAAGATATAAGTAGAAGCAGGCTCTTTATCAGGGCCATGAAAAATGGATGACATAGAAAATCATATTATGTTATTGTTTTGATGGGATTTAAAGGTCAGTATGGTTCAAAAGTTCATTTGTTTCCTGACTCTATCCTTTAACATGTCCACCATTGTCCCTTCCATCAATTTATTTGAAGATATTTATTTGAATGAATCACAACTTCATACCTACTAAGTCAGCCAACTTTAGCTGTAGAGATTTTGTAATAGAATAGTTTCTGTGGAATCTATCTCTTTGTACACTATATATGTTATTATAAATTTTAATCACGTAATACATACAGAAAGTTTTGAAATGAATGTTTAAATTCTCCAAAGATATACGTTCATGAGGAGAAAAGAGTTATACACATATACATAAACTTACAAACCAATTTACACAAATGTACAATGTAGATGTGTTGCTGAAATGACATATATACTCCCATAGTATTCAGATCATAATTCTTCAGGAACTGTATTACTCACATATTTATAGAGCAAATAAATCCAATCCTTTCATATTTATTTTTAAAATAGATATACAAAATAATAGACTCTATTCTGAATGTTGTCAGATTTCAAGATTTTAATATATTCTGAGCCTAGAAGAAAACTGCATATGAGACTATCCACGCATTATTGTTATTTATAATAGTTGTGATGTCCATATACTTGACATTTAAGTAGATTTATTGCTTATACTTTTTCCCTAAATATTTTAAACAGGAGTATTTAATAATTTGCTAAAACATCATTACTAAGAGTCCCTTAGATGCTATTGAAACTCAAGTCAGTGATTTACTCGGGAGCTCTAACTGGCTCTGATTTTATGAAAGAATCACATTTCTTGAAAAATTCTTCACAGATAAAACTGATGATATATTTACACTATTGGTTTATTTAGAGAAAACTGAATTTTCACATGAAAATTTATGTAAGAGAATATTACATTTAAAATTTATTTTATCTGATTATTTATTTATTTATTTTTTAGACGGAGTCTTACTCAGTCACCCTGGCAGGAGTCCAGTGGTGCGATCTTGGCTCACTGCAACCTCCATCTCCGAGGTTCAAGCAATTATCCTGCCTCAGCCTCCAGAGTAGCTGGGATTACAGGCACCCAACAACATGCCCAGCTAATTTTTGTATTTGTAGTAGAGACGGGGTTTCACCATGTTGGCCAGGCTGGTCTCGAACTCCTGACCTCAAGCGATCCGCCCACCTAGGCCTCCCAAAGTGCTAGGATTACAGCTGTGGGCCACTGTGCCTGGCCTCATCTGATTTTCAATACAATATCTGAAAGATAGACAAGTACATTCATTTTTAACAAAACACGGCAAGTCCTCATGCATGTCTTTGATAGGTTCTTGGAAACTGTGACTTTAAGCAAACAACGTGTAATGAAATCAGTTTTACCACGAGCTAATTGATTTAAACAAAAGGTAAGTTCCTATGGCACATTTCTGATCACAAAACATCAACCATTTTCTAAATGAAGACCAAGATAATTATAATATTAAAAATTAAAATACATGTGATTCATGTATGCACTTAAGAAAGATTAATAAAAACAAGTAAGACAATTATTAACTCCATTATTTCAGTAAGGATCATGGGTGACCAGAGGCTATCCTGGGAATTCAGGGCACAGGTGGGAACCAACAGTGGACAGGATGCCATCTCATTGCAGGGCACACACACACACACACACACACACACTCATTCAGAATGGGACAATGTAGAAATGCCAATGAACCTAATGTGCACAGCTTTGGGATATTGAAGGAAACTTCAGTACCCAGGAAAAACCCCACAGACATGGGGAGGACATGCAAACTTCACACTGACAGTGGCCCCCGCCAGGAACCATTTTTTTTTTCCCTTCATCAGGTTTATAACAAAAGATGGTGAACAAAATGTTATTTGAAGACCTGCTATATTTATTACTTACCTACTCAATAAATAGTATTCTGCTGAACTGGGCTATAAAAATGATTAAACCACAGTCTCTATCTGGGAAGAGTTCAACATAGTCGAAAGTATTTAAAGTGGTTGGGCTGTAGTACAGACTACATAAATTTAGTCTGTATAGTTTGTAAAGTTGAAAAGGCTGAATTTAATATATATTTTGTCTTAAAAAATGTTTTAGGAAATTACAGTCACACTTGGCTTAAATAACAAGAGAGAGAATTTCCTAGAAGAATGTCACGAATCAATTGCTTATTGAAATTCAGTAGATTTTTAACAGCTAGAGATGAAGACTATTTTAAACCCCTATTCTTCTTCACCCTAGATTTAGGAAACATGAGTATAGTAAGCATTTGGCAAAGTCCCCTGATGAAAGTAGGAGCTCAATATTCATTTGCGTTATGAATAAATGAATTGCACCTGTTTAGGATACTTGGCTCTGTTCACCTAGAAGCAAACAAATAAAAAATAATTGAGAAAAACATAGTCAGAAATGTTTATATGTCTGAAAAAAAATACTGTGCATACATTTCTAAGTGAAAGTCTTTAAATTAATTAATTTAATGTTACCTATAAAGGTTAATAAATAAGTCTCTTTCCCAATAGCTATAAGTAATTTAATTTTAACAATTTTCTGTGAGATTTTTTATTGTCTTTAGTAAGCCACATCCATGAAAAGCATATGATTATATTAAGGAAACTGAAATACTACCCCTTTCACCGCATGATAGCCACATTACACCCATGCTGCAAAACACTTAGAGGACACAAATACGCTTTGGAAACTTGGTTTGGAAAACTAAACCAAAGAGTGAAAACGTAGGCTACATATTCAATTAATGCTTACAATAATGAGAGCCTTCAAAATAAGTGTTACTTAAGTATTATTTAAATATTTTATTCTGGCTGGGCGTGGTGGCTCACACCTGTAATCCCAGCACTTTGGGAGGCTGAGGCAGGCAGATCATTAGATGTCAGGAGTTCAAGACCAGCCTGGCCAACATGGTGAAACCCTATCTGTACTAAAAATACAAAAATCAGCTGGGCGTGGTGGCGCACACCTATAATCTCAGCTACTCGGGAGGCTGAGGCAGAAGAATCACTTGAACCTGGAAGGTGGAGGTTGCAGTGAGCTGAGATCGTGCCACTGCACTCCAGCCTGGGCAACAGAGGGAGACTTCATCTCAAAACAAACAAACAAACAAACAAAATATATATATTTGATGATATAACTATGATATCAAAAAAGAATGCTAGTGCAAACATAGGTGTCATATATATATATATATGTATATGTATATATTAGTTTGTTTCTTTTCCAGAGGTAAACAAAAAAAGACAACATTTGGAAACTTTATTAGGAAGAATAACGACTGATAACTACTTAATGTGATGAAATAATGCTGTTCTCAGATGAAAACTTAGATGTACTTTGCAATTTAGTTGCGCTTTGCAAGTTTATATTGGTTATCCCATGAAAAATGTTAAATAAGTATTGAGGAGGCAGGTTATGATGATACTGAAATGCAGGAAAGAGTTCAGGAACACCTGGGCACTGACTGATCAGTATAGGATGTTGTCAGGGTTAAACACCTAATCGACAAGAAGATACCGATGTTTGAAGCAGCTCCGTTAAAGGGACTACACAAATTGTTGGTCGAATTTATCCAGATTGATGATATAACTATGATATCAAAAAAGAATGCTAGTGCAAACATAGATGTCCTAACTTACTGAAGAACTTGATACATTGATTGCCCAATTACTCTACTTGTAATTCCTAACATATATTATGACACTTTATTCTTTTGTAATGTTCCCTCTTTTTAATTTTGATTTCTATAGATTAATGAGGTATATGTGCAGGTTTGTTACATGGCTATATTGCACAGTGGTGAGGTCTGAGCTTTTAGTATACCTATCATCTGAATAGTGAACATTGTATTGAATAGGTAACTCTTCAACCCTCACCTCTCTCTTCCTCTCCTCTTTTAAACTTCCCGGTGTTGATCACTCCACTCTGTATGTCCATGTCTGCCCATTAATTAGCTCCCACTTATAAGTGAGAACATAAAGTATTTGATTTCCTGGTTCTAAGTTATTACACTTAAGATAATCGCCTCCAGCTCCATCCTTGTTTTGGCAAAGGACATGATTTAATTCATTTTTATGGCTGCATAGTGTTCCATGGTGTATATATACCATATTTTCTTTATCCAGTCATCTGTTGATGAGCACTTAGGTTGATTCCATGACTTTGCTATCTTGAATAGTGCTGCAATAAACATACCAGTGCAGTGTCTTTTGATATAACAATTTATTTTCCTTTGGGTAGATACCCAGTAGTGGGATTGCTGGGTGATACTTCATTCTTGATTTACTGCTGGCCAGGCACCCAAACCTTCCATAAAACAATCAAACACTCTGCTCTTTCCCACCTTAGAACTTTGCATAAACTGTGTCATTTTCTTTTTTTCCTTTGATTTTCTTTCTTTATATATATATATATATATATATATATATATATATATATATATATATATTTATTTATTATACTTTAAGTTCTAGGGTACATGTGCACAACGTGCAGGTTTATTACATATGTATACATGTGCCATGTTGGTGTGCTGCACCCATTAACTCGTCATTTACATTAGGTATATCTCCTAATGCCATCCCTCCCCCTTCCCCCCACCCCACAACCGGCCCTGGTGTGTGATGTTCCCCACCCTGTGTCCAAGTGTTCTCATTGTTCAATTCCCAACTATGAGTAAGAACATGCGGTGTTTGGTTTTTTGTCCTTGTGATAGTTTGCTGAGAATGATGGTTTCCAGCTTCATCCATGTCCATACAAAGGACATGACTCATCATTTTTTATGGTTGCATAGTATTCCATGGTGTATATGTGCCACATTTTCTTAATTCAGTCTATCATTGTTGGACATTTGGGTTGGTTCCAAGTCTTTGCTATTGTGATTAGTGCTGCAATAAACATACGTGTGCATGTGTCTTTATAACAGCATGATTTATATTCCTTTGGCTATATACCCAAAAACGGGATGGCTGGGTCAAATGGTATTTCTAGTTCTAGATCCCTGAGGAATTGCCACACTGTCTTCCACAATGGTTGAACTAGTTTACAGTCCCACCAACAGTGTAAAAGCCTTCCTATTTCTCCACATCCTCTCCAGCACCTGTTCTTTTCCTGACTTTTTAATGATCACCATTCTAACTGGTGTGAGATGGTATCTCATTGTGGTTTTGATTTTCATTTCTCTGATGGCCAGTGATGATGAGCATTTTTTCATGTGTCTTTTGGCTGCATAAATGTCTTCTTTTGAGAAGTGTCTGTTCATATCCTTTGCCCACTTTTTGATGGGGTTGTTTGTTTTTTTCTTGTAAATTTGTTTGAGTTCTTTGTAGATTCTGGATATTAGCCCTTTGTCAGATGAGTAGATTGCAAAAATTTTCTCCCATTCTGTAGGTTGCCTTTTCACTCTGATTGTAGTTTCTTTTGCTGTGCAGAAGCTCTTTAGTTTAATTAGATCCCATTTGTCAAATAAGCACTCCTCCTTTCACTATTGATTTGGTGATTGTTCCAATAATAGGCTATATTTTAAATGTTTTATCCTCAAAGGGTTCTTGCTTGAAAACCGTGTTTAAATAGATCATTATATGATTCTATTGCAACATCTGATTAATGTATATTAAATGCTAACATACCATCTTGATACATTATAGATCTGTGTTCCCACCCAAATCTCATGTCAATTGTAATCCCCAGTGTTGGAAGTGGGGCCTGGTGGAAGGTGATTGGATCATGGGGGTGGATTTCCCCCTTGGTGCTGTTCTCATGTTAGTGAGTGAGTTTTCATGAGATCTGGTCATTTAAAAGTGTGTAGCATTTTCTCCACCCTCTTACTCCTGCTACAGCTATGTAAAAGGTTCCTGTTTCCCTTTCCATCTTACGCCATGATTGTAAGTTTCTCAAGGCTTCCCCAGAAGCCAAGCAGAAGCCTTGATGCTTCCTGTACTGCCTGCAGAACCGTGAGCCAATTAAACCTCTTTTGTTTATAAATTACCCCATCTCAAGTATTTGTTTGTAGCAGCATGAGAACAGACTAATACACATATATTACACAGTAAATTATCATTGTCATCGCTAAGGTCTATAAAGTTATCACAAATACAGAATTTGTCAACTAACTTACTTTGCATGTTTGTATGCCCTCTAGAAACTCTGACTGAGTTCAAATAAAGACAAACCCTAATAATGAAGGTTTTAGAGCTTCCAGACAGTAAATTGGTGACACTTTTATGGCCAGAAAGCTTTGGGAGAGATTCAAACTCATTCTTCCCATTTCAGTGGTTTCAAAGCTGCTTATTTCTCAGCTACTATTACGGTAAAGTTGTTGGTTTTCAAGACTATTTTGGATTTGAGAAGAATGATTGGTAATCCAGTAAGTGTAAATATAAAAAAATCACTGCTGTTTCAGAGGTTAAGACTCTTTTTTCTTGGTTAAACACCGCTGGATTCTTGCAAGACTTTGCTAATTGTCAGAAATGTGACAAAGTTGATTCCGATAATTTTTGCCGATATTCTCATCACTTATAGAGTAATGCAGATTTTTATGATCCTTGCATTTCCATACATAAAGTGTTTTCTTGCTTTCAAAATAAGAAAATCTAATGTACACTTCTAAAAGATTTTATTTAACTTGTAAATTAAGAATGGAATCTTGATATGGTAAGTTGGTTCCAAGAACATTGAAGAAAGTTGTACTGTTTATCAGAAAAGTATTCACGTATATTTGTATACACTTTTTTAATATACAGGAATATTTGAATAAGATTTCTAGGTTAGATACAAATCTTGTTAATCTCCTAAAAGGCAATTAAAAAATAAAAACGGAGTAACTGATTTTTGGGTAATCTTTTCCTTGGAAGAATTTTAACTTGCAACAAATTAAGTTTGTAACTTGTAACTTAACTGTACTGCACTGTAAAAAAATAATAAATAGAGGCAAACACATACATGGTCTACTGGAAAATTAAAAATAATTCTTAAATTAGCCTCTTAAACCTCTATATTTTTAGCCTACTATTTGGTCCCTTTTTCTATTTCTTTCCCTCTGTTTTCTGATTCTGAACAAGAGTTAATTTTCCAGTCTCACTAATAATCTTTAGTAGATTCACACTTACATTATGCAACCTAAATTCATTTGGAAGAAGCAATATGCATAAAAAGTATTGGCATTCATACAATAAGATTATATCCTTACTTAATTAAAATCATTTTTAATATATTGTAATAAGTAAAATTTATGACACCATAATGTATGACAAGATTTCCTTATTTATAATTCACTTATAATGTCATTATTATATGAACATTTTTTTAAGTGACAAGAGAAATTTGTTATTTTTTCTTTTTTCTGAGACGGAGTTTCCTCTTGTTGCCCAGGCTGTAGTGCAGTGGTGCAGTCTCGGCTCACTGCAACTTCTGCCTCCTGGGTTTAAGCGATTCTCCTGACTCAGCCTCCTTAGTAGCTTGGATTACAGGCACCCACCACCACGCCCGGCTAAGTTTTGTATTTTTAGTAGAGACAGTGTTTCGCCATGTTGGCCAGGCTGGTCTTGAACTCCTGACCTCAAGTGATCCACCCACCTGGGCCTCCCAAAGTGCTGGGATTACAGGCATAAGCCACCACGCCCGGCCTACAAGAGTAATTTTTAATATATGTCACTAAGTGTTTTAAGTGTGGTGATAATGAATTAAATCACTAGTCATTCTGTGCATTTCTATTTTACTTGAAATCTACAGTGTAAAAAAGATCTCTGTGATTTTAAACAGTGTATCTTAAATGAAATGTAAGCAACTCAATACTTGTAATAATTGTATTAAATCCAGTTTTAAACTCTGATTTGTAGCATAATAAGGTACTAACCAGAAAGTAATCATTTTTGTTTTAAAAATTCTTCAAGTTGTAAAAGGTTTTGCACTAAAACATAAAATATATAACTAACATTACATGGAAATAATAATTGTAAGATGAATTACCACTAACTGACACATTCAAGTACATTTTATTTATTTTTTCAAAAGGGTTAATTCTGCTCTTCTCTCTCTGTCCAGATCTAACTGCATCCCCAGGCAGGTATGTTCCTGTATACTGATTAGTTGCCCCAAGGTCTCTATTAAACTTTGACTATATCTGCAGATATAGTCATTTTACATATAAAGGAATGTAACCTACTTTTCAAAACTTATTCATTCTGATATTAGTGCTGATGGACCACTTTAAAAAAAAAACTTGTGTAAATGTCTTCAAATGAAGAAACATTTAGCTATCTACTGTTTCAAGGTGTAAACAACAAGCACACTAATGTACATTTACTTGTCATAAATACCATGTGAACTTGTTGAATCTATACATTTATTTTCCTGTCTAACCTTTTAAAAATAGATCTGAGATTAAATATCATATCTTACATTGTTTGGCATATTAGCAGATATAGACATTTTGAAAAATCAGTATCCCAGACACTACTAGGAAGTAGTATGCTCTTATGCATGGAATCTCATGTCTTATGGCTCTTTCCCTGTTTCAGGTATTATTAATCCAAACTCTAAAAAGTATTCAAGATTTTACCTGTAACATTACATGATCCCAGGAGTGGCATTATAATATACCCTTATTGTGGGTTTATAATACTTACGGCAACATATGATTGAAACTTCTAAAAAAAATTAATGCTTCAGGATGTTCTTACATTTAAAACTGTACACTAGATAATTTAATAGGCATAAATTGTTCAGAGGAAAAGATTGATAGATCTTTGGGAAAATAAATAGAGTGAAAATAAAAGTACTATGGAAGAAAAGCCATGTTTCAATTGTGTATTAGGAACTATAACTCTATCCAACAAAAACTTACAGCAATGAAAAGAAGAGTGTTGAAGAGAAAAAAGTAGAGCAATAAAAATTAATTGAAAATAAAACATATGGCACTAGATTAAAGTTGGAGACATTACTATAAACTCATGTTTAGATATATGTTTAGATATATAGGCTATATGTATGTGCATGTGTGTATACACATATGGCAACACACACACATACACACACACATATAGGCCTAGTGACACACCAATAAGAGCAATCAAATCCTGTGCTCAAACCTCGTGTCTAAATGCCATTTTCTGATAAAAAATACCATTCTCTGATCTTCAGGGATACCTAGAGAAACAGTTTATTCTAGAGCTACAGCTCTAGCAAAATGCAAGGAAAAATACAAATTAAGTTTGGAACATCTTAGAGTGCCAGAAAGTAAGGAAGTGCTCAAAAAATAAATGTTAGAGTCATATAAAACAAACATATAACACCACCACCAACAAAAGGAGGCAAACTGAAAGAGTTCCCAATGGGAAAAACTGGAACAATTTAAAAAACAAAAATTAATATCTTAATATTAGCTTATAACCAAAGAATAAAATAAATATCCATGAGCCATACTGATAAAATATTGTATAATAAATAAATGCTGAAGAAGGGAGAAATCTTTCAAGGAAATGCCAACAAATTTATAATTTACTCAGAGACTCCCTTGCTAGGAGTCCACTCTCTTGAGTGTACACTGATCTAACTGATTAGGTTTCAAAGAGAAATGGATAAAAAGAGAAATGTATCTCAACAATAGAGAACTTTAGCAGACACTACCTTATTGAAGTAATTAAAGTTAATAGCTGTATCACCTGACCTGATATAAAGAAAAAATTACTTAATCTCTGTGACATTCATTTGAAAATCTCATACCCTATAATCATTAGGAAAATATCAGCCAAATTCATGTATAGAGACATCCAGCAAAATACCTGGCAGGTATTCCCCAAAATCTTCAAGGTCATGAAAGGCAATGAGAAATGGTCACAGGCCACAGCAGACTAAGGAGGCATGGTGATTAAACACAATTTTGTATACTAAATTAGATCCTGAAATGGAAGAATGGAATTACTGGAAAAACTGAAGAAATCTGAATAAAATTTAGAATTTAGTTAATAGTGATGTGTTTTTATTGAACCACAACAATAAGATTTTGTTTTTAAAAAAGGCTTTGTAACCTTGTAGATGGGTATTCATAAAAGCTATGAAAAAGTTGTTGGATTTTGGAAAGAATGGAACTCAAGGGACAAAGACGAATGATTGAGGTTGAACTTGATAAGGCATATGCACAAAAATTTAAAACCAAAACTCCAAAGTTACAACTCAGGAAGCTTGAAGAAATTACAATAATGTCAACAGCATGAATCTGAAAAGCTTACAACATCTTTGTAAACAGAGAAGGGCAGGTTCAGAATAGGAATAGGTGACAAGAGCAACATTTTGTTTGGGACAGGGATGGAAGTATGAGTGAGCAATATTTTGTTTGGTTTTCTTGTGTTTTAAGACATTGTATCTAGTCATGGTTTTTAAAGTATGAAAATACTTCTTCCATTTGAAGTACAATCTCTAATGTAAAAGAAAAACAAATGGAGAGATGATGGCATCCTTGACTAAAACTAAAAATAATGCAGTTTAACCAGTAATAATTTAATATCCTGGTTGGAGAGATTAAGAATAAAATATAGGAAAATTCAGGAAGGTACTTCTTGCCAAGCTGAGGAATTTCTATATTGTGCTAAAGCAAATCAAGAATACTGTAATTCCATACCTTCTGAACAATAATTAGAATTGTATTTTAAAGACTAAAGCAGGAAAATGTAAAAGACTGATAAAATACAGAATGAATTTATGGATGTGAACTAATAGGGATAATAGAAATGCAGAGAAGCAAATCCATTTGAGAGTAATCATATAAATAAAACCAAGCCAATGTTTTCTATAATTATATGTTTATATACAGAAAAGGGATAACTCAAGATTTTCTCTCAGATTTCAAAGCCAAGGAGAAGAGTGAATAATCTCAAGAGGTGAGAAGGGGTCTAGTATTTAGGGAAAAAAAAAGTTTTGGGTAGATCCTTGGGTAGACAGTGTAAAGACACACCCAGTCAAATTATTTCCCAACCAACTTCTTCCTTGCCTTTTACTTCAGGGAATCTATAAACCTGAAGAGGCAGTTGTAGTAGTGTTACAGTCAGTGACATGCAGGTTGAATTTTCATGGAGAGCTTCTCTTCACAATTAAGGAGGAAAATTTTCACTGAAGAATGCACGTATGTCTCTTTTCCTTTTTCCATGTGAAATACTGACAGATGGCTGCACTGGCTCAGCCATTTTATGAAAATGAGGTGGGAAGCATGAGGAAAATTACAAGATACCTTGTCAGACTATGCAACCAATGCAGCAGCTGCCTAGCTCCAAAATTATTGTAATATTTAAGCAATGGTATATTGGAAAATCTTTATCATGCAGTCAAAATGTATTCTATTTTAGAAGAGATACCAAACACAGAAAAAAATAAATGACCATCAAATCATTTGCAAGTAGATAAAGATATACACAAATTCATAAGATGGAAAAATATTACAGGAAAGAAAAAGTACTTTCTGGTGGCAAATGAGGAACTCTCATACAATTGAGTTATTTCTGTCTTGGTGCCATTTCAGAATCAAGATATTATTCTGAGTAATAAATATACACAGTGAAACTGGCTAAGTCATATATGATCTTTATTAAATTGCTTTAGGTTGTATTTTCTCCAAATCTCCACAAATTGGATATCATTTTCAAATTGTATAAAAGTTACTTTGTTTGCCAAATCACATAGACAAAATGAAAGTATAACAAAATCTAAAACAGGAAAAGGTTTAAAATATTGTTCTTTAATAAATATGTTTCTATGAAGAGATACAGTAAGAATATTGAAACTTCAAGTGCTTCAAGGTTTCTATAGAAAATAGTTTAAAAACCTAAATTCCAGCCTAGGTTTTCTACAGATAAATGAGACGCTTCATCACAACATCATTAGTGGCAATAAACACAAATTAAAAATAGAAAAATAAGATAGCCAGTAACTCAGAGAGGCAAGTTGAAATTTCATAAAGTTCCTATAACTATAAATTTTAATTGTTGCTCTAGTAAAATGTAATGTACATTTTCATCATTATAACATTATTCTTAATTTTCATGATTTAATAAAAGCACCTCCATGCATTTGAGCACTTGAAGAATAGCGATGATAGCCACCCCCTGCCCCAAATTTTCTGTTTCTTTAAGTCAGGTAAAAGGAAAACATTTAAAGTTTTCAGATGTCCTGCAAACATTACCTCCTTGTTATAAAAATGACAAAAACATTTGTACAGGGGGATGGAAACTTTAAACCCCTTTCTCCACCAGGGATGAACTCACACTACTCCTTGCTAGTGTTACATACTAGGTATAAAGCAGGATGTTTATCTGATAGATACAAAATAAGTAATTGGCCCACAGTGACTACTGGGCATTGCTTCATTTACCTTAACAGAAGTGAAGTAGAAAGTAGCTTTGAAAAATGTTCTGAACCCCATTTATAGCAGAACCCTGTAATTTTAAACTTCATACTTTGTTTTTCTTAGTACTTAACACTAGTCTACAAACATTTTGAAAGCTCCCAGAAAAATAATTGGGGATAAATGCAATATGTTGAAGAATATATGTTATAGGATAACAATTTTCCACATAAAGATATGCTATTATTTTCCTATTATATTAATATCACTTTAATTATAAATATCTTTTTTTCTGTGTAGAAATCATGCATATGGTCTTAATATCGCACATAATTTTAATGTTGTTATATCCACATATTCTGTAGAGAATTTGAAGTTACTTTGAGGTGGATATTTAAAGCTGCATTATCAAAATAGAGAGCAGTGGAGAATAATTTTTACAATTAGTCTGTGCTTCTATTGTTAAATGTTTAAGCACTTCATTCAATTCTAAGCTTCCTGCAAGCCAGACAAAATGAAAATATGATACAGTAAATGTGTCTCATTTTATGAAAAATATAACATTATTAAATCAAGAGCTAACACTGTTCAACTGAGAAATGTATGTGTGTGTGTATATGTGTGTGTGTGTGTGTTTCGTGTATTCAAACAAAATATTAAATTAAATACAATGGACTGAGTCTTCAAAAGGCATATTACGAATATATAAAATCATTCAACTTGAGAGTATTCCTTGGACCCTCAAGAAACAGGTAAAACATTATTAAAAAAAAAGATAGTCATTACTCCTTAGGTATCTGTACTGGTATTTGTGAATATTATCTTCATATACTAATTGTAAAAGAAATTAGAGATGAATATTTTGTGGCATGGCTATGTCTAGTGTTATAAGATTTGATTTTAAGCACTACACATTTATTTTTATGATGACAGAATTAAATGTGAGCAGCAGAATGTTTGAGCCTACTTTTCATTCCACTTGAACATTGATCTGTGAAAAAGCTGTAGCAGCAATGTTAATCAATGCATAAAGCTAGCACTACCATTCCATAATTCACCCAGATAGAGACAAGAAATGGTGGACCCAGCGTTAATATGTGGCTGCACTCATCTGGATTGCAGTCAGTTTAATTTAAGCAGAAGCTGAGTAGATCATTTATCAGGATTGAATGTATTACTGTAATTCATTGCAGTGATTGTAGGGAAACAGCAGTAGTAAAGATGCGTGGCTGTAACTCATGATGACACAACCTGGCTGGCTGCTCTCTATAGTGCTGTTTTCAGCTACAGCAGCCTTTCTCTCAGAAATTTTAGGACACCGTTGACTTATTCAAAAAATAAGTTCAGATAAACAAAGCATCATCTCCCAGAACATATTGAGAAAGATTAAAAGTCTGTCAATTTATGTCAAAATAAAATAAGTACTTGTAAGATAAATACTTTATGGTGATTACTGATCCTCCCAGTTTTTCCAAAACCATTATGTTCTCCAGTCCAGGATGAAAAACTCTGGCCTCATATGCTTCTTGGTATTTTTACAGCTTCTTGGAGAATTTAAACTTTTTGATCCGGGTGTGCCCATGCTAGTTAGCATTTAAATCCTGAACACTCCTAGTTAATTTCCTTTTCCTACATCACACTGAGTGTCTCCTATCAGTTAAAATGCAAATGATTCAGTTATACAATATGTTTCTTCTTAATCTTACTTGCTTAAAATAAAATTATAAATTACGTAAACCTATTGCAAAACCTTGTAAGTATGCCCAAGCATGCCCTGAAGGTTATTATTTTTTTAAACTTTGGTAATAAAACAAAAAAACAAATACAGACACTTTAGTAGGTTTAACTTAATATGTGTTTTTAAATCATTTTCATTTTACTGACTCACACTTTTTTAATAAAAAAACTTATTTAGAAGTTACCTCATGCAAGTAGGTTTTTTGAAATGCAGTACAATAGACACAACATAAAATTTATCATTTTTACCAGTTTTACATGCAAAGTTCAACTTTATTAAGTACATTCATATTGTTGTGCCACTTTAAGTGCATCTGAAATAGTAATCAATTTCCAATCTATTTATCTTTTTCTGATCTTTTAAAAATTTTCTTTATTATGAATCTACAGCCTTCTCCTCATTTTACTACTCCAGATCCCTAGCAGCCTAATGTTTGTAACATGTTTCTTACTTTTCCTATGACTACAGCTCTGCTATAGACACTCTACCAATAAATGTTGTTTTTTAAAAAAAGCAAATTACATTACAATTCTATTTTAAATTTTTCATCAACACATTCATTCTCAGAAACCTAAAACTTAAGTTCTACATTTAAGTGGCCATCAGTGATTTTTCTGCTTCATCTTTCATCTCTCTCGCACTCAAATCTCACTTCTCATCCTGACCGATCCACTTGTTATCGTACCTCAGTGTTTTAGAACTCCCTAAATTTGCAAAGGCTGTTAATTTTGTGGAAAGAACCATCTGCCCTTTTTAAACCTTGATTCATCTTTAAATTCTTCCCCTATTGTCTTTATTGTGAGTATTTCTCTGAAATAAACCCTCTTACCTCTCAAGTACAATTCTAGAGTATACATATACATAGCAGTGGATCTCTCTTGCAGTATATTTGTAATTACATATTTCCATGTCTATCCCACTAAACTCAATTTATTTAATTTACCTATTTATATATGATCTCACAATCCCTTCATATATGGCAATTTTAAAAGACAAGTTTTAAGGGTAGTGTTATAATAACAAAGATAGAAAGCATATCCTTTTCCTTTCAGGAGTTTCAAGTTTATTACTACGTGCATGCGTGTCTAACACATGGTATATTTTAGTTTTAGGTAAATATAAGTTGAATGAGTACATGGGTTAATAATTTTAATCTTCGATATATTGGATATCAGTAATGTCAGCAAACTTCTATCTTAGCTGTGTCTTAATCATCAAATAATTATATATATATATCGATTTCCTGATTGCTTATTCTTTTTATACGTATATATTTTTAAATTATTTTTCCAACTGGACAAAATAATTTAGCATAATAAGGGAACTTGCATTTGAAAGAATGACTAAGATAATAATTTGAAGATTTTATCTATATAATATAGGTTGAAAATATATAATTTATAAATTCAAACTCTGTAAATTATGATATAAATAGAATAATTTTAGACTCAGAATCAAATAAAGATTTGTGGGCAGTAATAGTTTTTTGGAAGATATATAACATGCTTTTCTTTTATTTATGAATATAGCAAAAAAGATAACTAATGGTATAAGTTAGATATTTGATAAGCTGCTTATAAAACAGGATAAAATAAGAGTACATTTTAGGACTAAAGCATATAGTTCAAGGAATGTCTCAAATGGAGTAAACAATTGTTTCCTTTTATTTATCTATTTTTTGTATTTTCATTGTTCGTATTTCTGCATCAATACGTACGGCTTAGAGAAATTGTAAGAATAAGCATTCTATTGAATTAAGAACAAGTTAAAAGAGAAAAAATTATATTGAATCTAAACTTTTCATGAAAATATGTGATTAAACTTTTTTATTTTTTCAAATTAAAAAATACATTTCTTATACATTAAATATGACCCTAAGAATTTTGCCAGTAATGTAGCTGCTCTAGTATATTTTTAAAATATACAATGTGAATTATTACATAAGCTAAATATAATATTAGAGATTTCTGGAATATTGATAAAAATAATACATTAGATATGTTAATTGCTCTATGGCATATCCTATCGAATTGCTTTTTTAAGTTTTTATTTCTTAATTTGGGAATTATTAAGTCTCCATGATGTCTCTGTAAAATAACTATAAGGCAATGATATCAACAAGGGGTTATTAAATGTCCAATATGATTCCATCTCTGACTAGGACCTATTCATACATATGCGTGTGTGTGCGCAGGTGTGTGTGTGTGCAGGTGTGTGTGTGTGTGTGTATTCTATTTTATTTAATTCTTACAAGCATACAAATTTTCTTAATTTGCAGGTAAGGATAGCATGTCTCATAACGGTTATAATGTTTACTAAGGGTCACACCCAAAGGGGATAGAATGGAGCCAAACTTCATATCTATATTAATATATTTAGTTTGCTGTAGTTAATTCATCATGTCAATCTTAATTCCTGTTTTAAATTCTCTAGGCTCTGGTTCCTCGTTTTTAGTCACCCATCCTTTTTCCTAAAAATGTACTCTGTGCATTTGCAGAGTAGTTTTTATCAGACTGCCTGATGCCAGTAATATTTGGAGTTCCAACAACCCCCTTCTATTTTGTATTGTAACTGTTTATTCAAAGCTAAACAGTGTTTCTGCTGATACAATTTTCTCAAGAAATTTGCACATCTTTCCTGGATTTCATAAGTATTCACTCCCATAGTTTGTTGAACAGTTTGTTCAAGACAATGAAGATTTTGATAAACATATTCTACATTTTTATCAAAAATTGTTCACCCTCTACCACTGCCCTATTCAAAAACCTCTCCTATATTTTAGCTATTTCTTTCAAAAGCACTCCACTTCCAAGTGGCAAAATCTGTATTTATTTTCTATTGCTGTGCAGCATTATTATGACAAATTTGACAGATTAATACAACACTATTAGGTTACAATTTCCACGTATAAGCATTCTAGCATAGCATGGCCTGGTTCCCTGCTCTGTTTCTCATAAGGCTGAAATCCAGGCTGTTAGCTGGATTACATTTCTACCTGGAGGCTCTGGTGAAGAATCAGATTCCAAGCTCCTTCAGTTGGTTGGTCATACTCAGTTACTTGCAGTTGTAGCACTGAGGTCCTCATTTCTTTGCTAGCTATCAGATAGGGGCTGCTGTCAACCCTAAATAACTCCAGCATTCCTTTTTATGCCACCCCTTCCATTTTAAAAGCTAGAAAGAGAATTTTCTTCTCATTGAATTTTTTTCACACTTTGAAATTCTGACTTCTGACTATGATCTCTACAGTCAATTTAAAGATTCAGAGTTGTTAGCTTAGGATCACTCAAATAATTTTATATTTTAAAATCAGATCTGATACTTTAATTACATTTGCACAGTTCCTTCCAAACTATACCAAGATTAGCTTTTAAAAAATTAAGAGAAGATGTGTATATATCATGACCCAGGAATCTTGGCAACCCATCTTAGAATTCCACCTATTACAACTGCTGTCAATATTTTAAACCTGATTATAGCCCTGATTTTGCAATAGAGTAAATTAATTTTTAAGTCTCTTCTAATAAAATCTTGGAAAGTAATTAATAAAATAATGTAGGTTTGCCAAGAAATTTTTAAAATCCTAAAGGACATTTGTTTTGAAGATGACAGACTATTGTTTTAACATAATACATTATTAATTATACCTTATAACATATATTTACTAGGAAATTTTTAATTATTAATATATGTATCCTACATAACATACACATTTCAGTATGTAAATAAGAACACCACTCTGTTTCTGTATTGTACTAAATAGATTATACTAATAGATTACACATGACTACATTAATATTTTCTTTACAAAATAGTGTGGAAGCTTTTATATCAGAATAATGCTGAAGGTTACATTCCTCAAAAAGAAGTCGCAAACTCAGTATATAATTTTTCAATTTCACATAAACAATATTGGTATGATAGCTTTCTCTCGGAATGAAATATCTAACTGCCATTGTGTCATTAGTATGAAGACAATCTGTTATTTGATGAGGCTTTACTGTTAAGGAGCCTTTCTTTATTTCTATACAATGTGACAAGCTCCCATCCATTAACAACATGCATGAAGGACACTAATTTTATGAGGTGAGCATCGGCAATTTGATATGTGTATTTTCTAGTTTAATTTATACTAAGATTTCATTAATTACCATACTCTAGAATCTACACCCCATAGGTGGTTAAATTGCATTCTAATCTGAAACACAGATCTCCAAATGTGGATGATAAGAAGTCTTTATTTTGCTTATTGAATGTTAGAATTGTCAGAATAATCTTGTTTGTAAAGTTAGTGGCTGTTGATTGGAATTATGGATTGTAGAAGCACCTTTTTAATGAAAAAGTTAGTGGCATGTTAGGTAGATTTTATATATTATATTATATTATTATTATATTATATTATATTATATTATATTATATTATATTATATTATTAATTTAAGACAGAGTCTCAGTCTGTTGCCCAGGCTGGAATGCAATGGTGCAATCACAGCTCAGTATAACCTCAAACTCCTAGATACAAGCAATCCCAGCTGGGACTACAGTATTATACCATCACACCCAGCTAAATTTTTTTGTATTTTTTGTTTTTGTAGAGATGGAAGTCTTGCTGTGTTGCCCAGGCTAGTCTGGAACTCCTGACCTCAAGGAATCCTCTCATCTTGGCCTCCCAATAAATATACCTCAAATTGTGGGGTGCATTGTTCTCATGCTGAAATTACAGGCATTGGCTCATAATGCCTGTAGTTGGCCTGTAATTCCAGCATGAGACAATGTGCCCACAATTTTAAGTATATTTATTGAGTAACATATTTTAGAGACATTCTCTGCCCTCAGAAAACAAGGTGAAAGAATCCATTCAACTCTTGTTTTCTATTTCCTTAAAAGTGGCTCCTTACTCAGAGATTAAAGGCTTTGGTAGGTGGAAATAAATTTAGAATACTCACTATCTGATCCAGTCTGTAAGTTTAACTGGGTTATATCCCTGATATAATGATGCCTTTATTCTGAAAGAACTTTTCATACAAAATGTAATAGGGCGAGATAGCTCAATCATTGGCCTTTAAAGAAATGTGCGCATGACTTTATGTCACTACTTGCTAATTAATTTTAGCACACTTTCTATCATAGATGTATTATTTTAAGTTTTGGTAAAGTTAAGAAAGAATTGTTATATTTAACGTATCAATAATCATTGTCATTTACTTTGACTTATCAAATACTTCTTCATGACTAAATCAGCATGCCTTTTACCAACACTCATACTGTTATACTAGACAGTTGTTTTCCTATTTTATGATTTTTCTAAGAAAAACATTCATTTTCTGAAATAGAATTAATAGTTAACGTATACAGATTACATTCAATACAAATAATTTGTTTAATTAGTTCATTTCATTGTGCTTCCAAAATCTGTATAACGTTAATTGTATAGAAAGAGTAGTTCTGAGTTTAGAGAAATAAAAAAAAAAATACTAATTTGTGATTTTGGGTGCATAGTTATTTCTTTCATTTATTTATTGGAAAGACACTTATTGGTTACCAGGTACTGAGGATGCAAAAGTGTTCACATCATAATCAGGCAGAAAATTATTAAAAGAAAAATGATGAGGCAATGTGCTAAGCATTCTGACAGAGGTTTAAGAAGAGTTCTGTGCCAAGAGAGGTAGCTCATGCCTGTAATTTCAGCACTTTGGGAGGCTGAAGTGGGCAGATTGCTTGAGCACACAAGTTGGAAACCATCCTGGTCAACATGGCAAAACTCTGTCTCTACCAAAAAATACAAAAGTTAGCCTGGTGTGGTGGCACACATTTGTAGTCTCAGCTACTTGGGAGGCTGAGGTGGGAGAATCGCTTGAATCTGCTGAGGTCAAGGTTGTAGTGAGCTATGATGGCACCACTGCACTCCAGCCTGAGCGACAGAGCAAAACCCTCTCTCAAAAAAAAAAAAAAAAAAAAAAGAGTTCTGAAATAGTAATGTGGAGAGAGGAATTAGGTCTGTTTGAGAGATCACAGACAAATTCATAGGAAAGGAAACATATGAGTTAGGCTTCAAAAAAGTAGTGGTTGTGTTGCTAGAGAGAAAGAGTCAAAGGGAAAAAATACAGGAGTAAATTTATAGAAGTTAACCACACAGGTATATTTGAGCATGTTTAGAAATCCATATAATCCTGGTGAATTGGTGTTCTACTGTGCAATGTGGATTTTGTCATTTTCCTTCGAATCCAGAGAAAGCTAGGAGTACAAGAATCATGTGACTGCCCAGGCTTTTTCAGTTCAGGCTTCTTTTTTTTTTGAGACTTATTATTATCTCAAAACTTTAGTAGGATTCTTTTATTTAATTTGATTGCTGTCAACTCTTCATGACAGTAATCACAACCATACTTTGTCTTGACACATTTCCCCGGTCAGCTACTTTTTTGCATCTTTGCCCTTTTCAAAGTGTATTTGGGGACTGAAATGGCTTGTTGGTAGATATTCACTCTTTATCTGTTATTTGCTATGTGGCCCTCTGGTTAATTGAGAGGTGTTAACAATAGCTGCGAAAGACGTGCTCTTAATCTGATCATTGTTGCAGACTAAATTGAAATTAAAATTTGCACTTTAAGATTTTCTTTTTCAACTTTAAAAGCTGTCAGCTTTTTAAATATAGCAAGAACATGAATTTCTGGAACTTTTCTATTACCATTCTCTTCTTTTTCCCAAACCAGTTTGCTATTTTTTGAGAACATGTCTTTTTCATCATATCTTGTGAAGTATAGTCAATAACAACCAATATATATCACATAATATTCTATATTTGAATTTATTCCCTTGGGCCCCAAGTTAGGTGTGTGATTAACCTACAATTACACCTCTTAAATTATATTACTGATTAAAATGTAGTTTGTATTTACTTGAAATTGTGATTAATATAAAACTTTTTTTGTTTTTTGTTTTTTATTTTACTTTAAATTTTGGGATACATGTGCAGAACGTGTAGGTTTGTTACACAGGTATGCATACGTCATGGTGGTTTGCTGCACCTATCAACCTGTCATCTAGGTGTTAAGCCCCACATGCATTAGATATTTGTCCTAATGCTCTCCCTCCCCTTATCCCCCACCCCCTGACAGGCCCCGGTATGTGTTGTTCCCTTCCCTGTGTCCATGTGTTCTCATAGTTCAACTCCCACTTATGAGTGAGAACACACGGTGTTTAGTTTTCTGTTCCTGTGTTAGTTTGCTGAGAATGATGGTTTCCAGCTTCATCCATGTCCCTGCAAAGGACATGAACTCATTCTTTTTTATGGCTCCATAGTATTCCATGGTGTATATGTGCCACATTTTCTTTATCCAGTCTATCATTGATGGGCATTTGGGTTGGTTCCAAGTCTCTGCTATTGTAAATAGTGCTGCAATAAACATATGTGTGCATGTGTCTTTATAGCAGAATGATTTATAAGCCTTTGGGTATATACCCAGTAATGGGATTGCTGGGTCAAATGGTATTTCTGATTCTGGATCCTTCAGGAATCACCACACGGTCCTTCCAAAATGGTTGAACTAATTTACACTCCCACCAACAGTGTAAAAGTGCTCCTATTTCTCCACAGCCTTGCCAGCATGTTGTTTCCTGACTTTTTAAATAATCGTCATTCTAACTGGCATGAGATGGTATCTCATTGTGGTTTTGATTTGCATTTAAAAATATATAATTTAAATGTCAAATTTTTCAGCTTAAATAATTCATCAGTTTTTTCCACATAGATGAATTCTGCTGGCTTCCATGGCAAGAGAACTGTAACATAACATTCCTAGTTATTGAAGCAGAAACTCTTACATCTAGAGAGTCTCTGATGAAATGTTCAATTAAGGGCTTGAGTGTTAATAAATGTGTGTATTTAGTGGGTCAGGGTCAGAGACTATAAAATCAAAATGTCTAACAACATGATAAAGGGGTCTAATCTGTGGATGAGACTTTAGACTCTAGATGAATTTGGAAAAGGCCTATCAAAAAGCCCTGCTAGGGATATAAGAATGTCAAACAGGAAAGCAATGCAGGATTACCTGAATGGGATCTTAGAGACTTTGATGGGAGGACCTTGCTTTTCTTCTGAAATTGATACTATGAGAGTGTAGACACATTTAAAACAAGATCCAGAGTTGTAATGATAATTTTAAGAAATATATGACATGACGGTTTCAAAACTAAACTGCTCAACAGATGCATGGAGGAATCACCAAAGATAATGACAAGGACTTGTGGTTGTTTATTTTATGTGTGAATTTGGCAACCCATGGTACCCAGTTGGTCAAACAGTAGTCTATATGTTACTATGAAGATATGTTTAAATGCAGTTAATATTGAACTCAACTGACTTTGCATAAAGCAGATTACCCTTCATAATGTGGGTAGGCATCATCCAATCAACTGAAGTTCTCAAGAGCAAAGACAGATTTCCTGAAGAACGACTTTGGTCTCAAGACTGAACCACGAAAGCCATACTTGAATTTACAGCTGGCCTGCCCTGCACTGTGGATTATGGATCAGGACGTGACATCCACACTTACCTGAATTTCCAGCCTGCCAACTTGCCGTAAAGATTTTGGATTTGCCAGCCCCCTCAATTTTGTGGGCCAGTTCCTTAAAAGCAATGTTTCTCTGGATAATCCTGAGTAATACAGAGTACATTTACAAAATAAATAAATGACAATCTTTCACAAGACCTACTTCTTGAAGAAAACACACCATTTTCAAATTATGTACCCTTACATAATTTGACATGTAATGGCCAATTTTCATATAGATTCAAAATCTGTAACAAATTACATAAATTGAAATTTCCAGAAGTGCCCCATTACATAGTTCCTAGTCAGTTTGCCTGCCTCTTGTTTTTTTTTTTTTTTTTTTCTTAAAAAAAAAAAAAAAAAACTGTGGCTGGGCTCGGTGGCTCATACCTGTAATCCCAGCATTTTGGGAGACTGAGGGGGGTGGATCACCTGAGGTCAGGAGTTTAAGACAAACCTGTCCAACATGGTGAAACCTCGTCTCTATTAAAAATACAAAAATTAGCTGGGTGTGGTGGTGCATGCCTGTGATCCCAGCTACTGGGGAGGCTGAGGCAGGAGAATGGCTTGAATCCAGGAGGCGGAGCTTGCCAGTGAGCCAAGAAGGTGACACTGCACTTAAGCCTGGGCGGCAGAGTGATACTCTGTCTGAAAAAAAAAAGAAAAAAGAAAAAAAAACAAGCTGTGGATAGCAAATATTTTATAAAATGCATTAATTTCTTACTTGAGTTTAGAGTGCTTTTAGCTTAATTTTTATAATTAACTCTTCAGTAAAAGGTTACAAAGATCATAGATCAAGGCTAAAATAAATCAATTTCAGCCTAGGCCCTGAGCCCACTTCCTCCTTCTTGAATTCTGCTTCAAATGGGTGTGAACAAATAAAGGGCTCAAGCTGTGAAGTTAGTATTATTTTGAAAGGAGGTAATGGCCATTAGACCGAAATTTAATTCATTTTATTAATGTAACATTTTAGGAACCATTAGATAACTATATTTTGTTAAGTGCAATAAATATGTAATAAATAATACTGACATTTCAGTTAATGCAATGAAATTATAAATATAAATGTAGGCCGGGTGCGGTGGCTCATGCCTGTAATCCCAGCACTTTGGGAGGCCGAGGCGGGAGGATCACGAGTTCAGGAGAACAAGACCATCCTGGCTAACACGGTGAAACGCCGTCTCTACTAAAAATACAAAAAATTAGCTGGATGTGGTGGTGGGCGTCTTTAGGCTCAGCTACTCAGGAGGTTGAGGCAGGAGAATGGCGTGAACCTGGGAGGCAGAGCTTGCAGTGAGCCGAGATCGTGCCACTGCACTCCAGCCTGGGCAACAGAGCCAGAAAAAAAAAAAAAAAAAAAAAAAAAACATTAAAAATAAATAAATAAATAAATAAATAAATATAAAGGTATAGTTAATTTAAACAGGGGATAAAATAATGTGGTGAGATTGGAGAGAATATAAAAGGATTAGGAAGTGACATTGAATAGAAATGAAGATAAATAAACCAAGTACAACAAAAAGTTAAAGATATCAATGATACATTGAAATATAAAGAAATATTAATGCTAAAATTTACTGACAGAAATGGAGTGAACTGTATAGATTTTTAAAATTGACTCCCCGTTCATTCTTCCATTCTTCCATCAGAAATTAATTCACGTCAATAGGCAGAAATAATTTGAATTTATGTTTATGTAAAAATAAACTACATAAAATAAACCTATTTTGTATATTTTGAAAAAGTACAACCACAAAAGGAAAAAAAGGGAAGGTGATGTCAATTTAGTGTCTGTTAGAGGACTAAAATGTATTACTTGAAAGCAAATATTGCAGTGTGTTTATGTGAATCTAGAAAATAAATCTCTATCTTAAAGAAAATACTGAATATTTCCATAAGTATTATTTATAGTAGTAGGCCTCTAAATGAAATCATGCATAGAACAAAAATGAAAGATGCTCTAAATCTGCCATCTTTTGATTTATCACTCTGAAATCTGATCATATACAAATTAATGCTTTTAATTGCTTCCCTACCCAGTTGAACTTGAAATATGCTGTGGCAGATATATTAATCTTGTGAAACTAACTACAGCTCTTTATTGCCTTTACTTCTTAGACAAATTTATCTCTTTGATGCGAAATAACAAATAGTCTACAGCAAAAAGGGGAGTTTTACATTGATGTAGTTATGACATAAATTGATAACAATGAATCATCACATCCTAACATCTTTTTTTTTTTTTTTCCACACCTGAACCTGAATTGTTAGTGAGTGGAGCAGAACTGGCAAACTTGAGGGAAGAAAGGCTCTTAATTATAGTCTGTCTCAGCAGGTATATATGGCTGCAGATATACTACTTTTAGATCATCAGGAATACAGCTGGTGGCAAAAAGGAATCCTAATGTTTATTATATTTTCTTATTGGGGTAAAAGTAAATGCAAAAAAAAAAGATGAAATGTTCTAAATAAAAGTTTCTAGAAATGTATCCTGAGATAACACTCTAGGCAGAAATGGAAGAGAAATAATCTAGTTATCCATAAACTGAAATTCTTAAGATGTCAATGTTCACATTGTTAAATATTTCAAAATGTCCCATAACAAATCTAGAACTGAATTTTGAAATAAGACAGAAGATATGCATTTAAGCTTCTTACAGTAAAGATAATGTGTAAAGCTGGTATAGCAAAAATAAATCTCCTTTTAGAAAGGGCATACCTCATGGTTTTCCAAAGTTACAACTCTAATTGCAATATTAACATTTCTGGGCTATGGCAAAGAAATCTTCCGTGCCAAAATTAATGTATTAACTCACCAAATTTATCTTATCCCATCCGTTAACATTCTTTGTCAAATATAAGTTATTAAACAACACTTTCTCTTTTGAGTTGAAACCGTTGTGAACAATCAAATAAATCAGATTATGAAAATCCCTAAATAAATATACTACCTTCTAAATTCATACAAATGCCAGCTTTAATGTCTGTTGGGTTTATTTAAAGGTGGCCATTTTATAACATCTCTCCAGCAACCCTATTGTTCCCCTGTCATTTATATGAAATAGATAATCTAAGGGATAGATATCTGACTACCATAGAGTAAGTTGCTTAGCTGCCACAGCAGGTATTTGTAAAGTTGTGTTTATGAAGGAAAAAGGACTTTGAGAACCATATACCGTCTGTCTTTTACATAGAAACCAGTGGCATTTCATTAGAGAAATTTGGGAAATCTGTCAGCCCTCAGAAGCTTTAATGCTGCTGGAATGTAAGTAAACAAATAAAAAGGCAACCAAGTGATTGCAACCTGTTTTCTTACCTGATGACGTGTCGTGCATAGAAAAATAAATGTATTGGAATGTAGTAAGAATAAGAAGCCTTGCTATTATATCCTCTTTCCCAGAAGTCTTCATGTTCAGCAAAATATAGAGAGTGCTTCTGGCAGAAGAGGACTGGACCTGGGCAAGGTAGAGTAAGAGCACATTACAGAAATGAACAATGGGATGGTCCAACAGAGTGTTAAAATGTATGTTCTATGCACCCCACAGAGAGGCAGCCTTTGGGTTTCCTACAAGTCAGGTCATTGTACTACTGTATCATTAGTCAGAGATACAGTCTCAGCTCAGACTGCAACCTCTTCTAGCCTTGTAAAAAGGACTTTTATATTTTCCCATCTCCTCCCCTAACCCTATCACTTTATAAAAGGCCATTTTTTTTTTGAGAGCCAGACCATAGCTGCATCTTTTTCTTAGACTCCTATTTGTACCTCTAGTCTTCACTAAGAAGGGGAATAAGAGGTGAATCAGATATAAATCTTGAAATTTTAAAACCCAAATAACAGTATGTGAATTGCATAAAGCAATAGAAAAAATACGGAATCTAGAATAAAGGTAGTTAATAGACTCTCTATTCAGGGCCAAACTAAATATATGCATCATAACATGGCAATTTTTGAAAAATAAATAAAGATTTTTTCTTGTTTATAGTCTCAAACTTGAGGTATCTCAATTAAATATGTAGACATATATGGTACATATATTTATTTATTTTTATAGTAGATGTCTTCTTGTTTATACTCTGAAAGTTGAGATATCTCAGTTACACACACACACATGCACACACACTACTAGTCTTCCATTCATTTTGTTGTACTGGAAGCTAATTGGCTTAAGGGGCTACTTGGCTTAATTTTTATTCTACACTGAAGAGAATGTAAATAAAATATAACTATAAATTTAGACTACATTATTTCTGTGGCAAACATAAAAAGGTTTTATTCTTGAAACTTCTAATTATTCAGATAAATAATACAAATCAATAAAACTTTTACTAATTTGTAGCACTGTTCTTAAAGCATGGAGATAATATGGCTGGAGTGGGGGAGATTTACTCTTTGTTCATTGTTTTGTCCTTTTGAAATTCATAGTAACTTCTCACAGTTTTTCATTTTGAGTTATCTGCCAAATGTTTCTGTACCTCCCTTGTGATTGAATGATTCAGAAAATTCTCATGAATCTCAGCATGATTCATTACTCTACTTTTAACCTTCTAGATTTAAATAAGAAAGTTAAGATATTTTCTTTCTATATTTATTAGCACAATTATCAGGTAATAGGCAATTACATGCTTTATCATTCACTCTCCACAAAGAGCGGTTTTCATAACTTACAAAAAGATGAAAATGGTTTCCTTCATGATAACGTATTTATACTAAAATGCCTTGTTTGACAAAAGAGAGGAGCCAGGATTAATCATAAGCTATATCTCTCTTAATCTTTTTCAGGATTCTTGATTATACAGAGTTTAGAGAGGTTTACAAAAGATATTTTAGCCCCATTTGAAAGTGAGAAATTATGGAGGCTAAAAAAATGTAATCTCTAAAATAACAATGATCATTTGAATGAAATGTTTTGATTTAATTTCTCTCCTTCAAGATCCTAGGACTAAACACACTGTGGGTTTATATCAGAGAGCATAATGCCTACATATTTTACTTTGCCCTTCCCAGATAACTTGTCATCACCATTTTTATTTATATCAAAGAATATATGCAAGGATCTTGAAGTTCTGTTAACAATATTCTTTAAAACCTGTCATTGTTCTCAACAGCTATTTAAAGAAATCACAAACATTTTTCACACTTAGATGAGGAGCACTTTTATAATATTAGAGCACTATTATTTGTTTATCACTAGGAAATTTTAACAGTTCCATGTCAGTCTGAAAAATGAAGATTGAATAGATATAACTCAACTTAGCATGATTGCATATTTATCATTTCATTTTTACAATTCCTATCAATAATTGAATTCATGTGACAACAGTGAATATTGGTGAGCCTAATTTGGGCAGGTTATTGTATTTGAATGATTGCCGAGTAAAGAAATTGTCCTTACTGCTTTCAACCTATGGTAATAGAAGACATAATTAGACACCATTCATTATTGCAAATGTGCTGCCTATAGATTAGACTTTCAAAACCATATAGTCTTATTCTTTTGGGTCTATCTTTTGACACATTCACGCTCTTTAGACACCAGTGACAACCAGAAAGCACACAGTTTAAATCCAAGATCTGAACTACAGTGACATCTGCTACATAGCTCTTCTTACAGAAATATAACCTAAATATATTCTGAAACAGATTGAACATAGCTATTCTCAAGATAGGCATATGACTAATTAAATGAAAATACATCATGCTATCTCTCCCCCTTGAAAACTTACATTAAACTAGGAAAGAACTGCAAGATATTAAAGGGAGAGCTCAAAATTCATTCAAAATGAAGAAAAGCAGCTCTTTTAGTATGAAAGCTTAAAATTTATTACATAATTTTATTGAATTAAAATCCATAATGATAATGTGGGTTTCTCTCCAAACTGGAGGCATTTTCTTAGGAGCAACATTTATTACATGAGCTAAAAAAGTGAAGTCAAAGGAAAACAAATATTTTTCAGTGATGCAGGATTTACAACTAATGTTATAATGTTTTACTTTAGAAAATGTTAGTTTAGAGTAGATTAAAGACTGTTAATATACATTTCCCAACCCAGCAAATCAAATTAGTTCATGTTTATAAACATATATATTAATTTATATTTCTCTTCTTTCCTGAGTGATGCTTCTTTTTATGATTCTACTGTTTAAGTTTTAGCAATTTTGTCAGGTTTTCATGGTAAATGAATCAAAACTCAATAATTTTAGGTATTTGTAATTATAGTAAATATATAATACATTTCTAAATTTTAAAGTAAATTTAATGTTGTCATTGGTATTGTGTTTATTGTAAGAAAAATTGGAGTAACATTAGGATCTAATAAATTATTAACAAAAATGATGATTTAATGTTTTATTAATTTTTACATAAAACTTCCGAATACTTCAAGTATGTGTATTAAATAACAACTGTTCTGAAATATTGATTTCTGTGCACTGTCAAAAATAATTCTGTGAAATATATATATTTTAATAATTTAATAATTCTGTGAAAAATAAATATATATATATATATATATATATATATATTTTTTTTTTTTTTTTTTTTTTTTTTTTTTTTTGAGATGGAATCTCGCTCTTTCACCCAGGCTGAAGTGCAGTAGCACAGTCTCAGCTCATTGCAACTTCTGCCTTCCGGGTTTTAAGTGATTCTCCTGCCTCAGCCTCCCCAGTAGCTGGGATTACAGGCAGGCGCCACCATGCCCAGCTAAGTTTTGTATTTTTAGTAAAGACGAGATCTCACCTTGGTGGCCAGGCTGGTCTTAAGCTCCTGACCTCAAGTGATCCACCTGCCTTGGCCTCCCAAAGTGCTGGGATTATAGGCGTGAGCCACTGCTCCCAGCCAGAAAAATATTCTTAAAACAGATGGAAATACTACAAAAATTTGAATTGAAATTACTTTGTATAGTCAATGGTTTTTCCTCTTTGGAATTTCTTAGCCTTGTAATTAATAGTTGTTTGTCCTCAGATATGCTAAACTAGATCTACAGAATCAATCTTTCATTTAACAGCTATTAATTGGACACCTATTGTATTAATTTTCTATAGTTGCTATAAAAAATAACTGGAAAATTAATGGCTGAAAGCAACACAGATATATGCTATTAAAACAAAATCTTGGACATCAAATGCTCAGAATGGGTTTTACCAGGCTAAAATCAAGGAGTGGAGAGGGCTGTGTTTCTTTCCGGAGTCTGTTAGAGGGAATCCATTCTTTGCCTCTTCCAGTTTTTAGATAGTGGTCCCCTTACTGCATTAGCAAATGACCACTGTTTCCATTTTCAAATTTTCTTCTCTGATTCTGATTTCATAACTTTCTCTTTTTGAAAAGTACCCTTCTGATTACGTTGGTTATCCACATAATCCAGGATAATAACTACTTTCAAAATTCTGCATAATTCCTTGGCCATGTAAGATAATATTGACAGATTTTGGAGATTAGGATGTGGATATGTTTGGAGAGGCATTATATTGTCTACCACATCTACTATAAAAGATGCATGGTATGTAACCAAAAGTTAAAGTGATGTCAACCATGTTGTTTTGGAATTTGAAGGCCAGAGAAAAAGAAAAATATTGAAAATGTGTTTACAACTAAAAACAGAGTAACAAAATATAAACAGAGAGTAAAACAGATAAAGCAAGGAAGACATATCTTCTTTCTTTCTTTCTTTCTTTCTTTTTTTTTTTTGAGACAGAATTTCACTCTTGTTGCCCAGGCTGGAGTGCAATGACTCCATCTCTGCTCACTGCAACCTCCGCCTCCAAGGTTCAAGCGATTCTCCTGCCTCAGTCTCCCAAGTAGCTGGGATTACAGGCATGTGCCACCATGCCCAGCTGACTTTGTATTTTTAGTAGAGACAGGGTTTCACCATGTTGTTTAGGCTGGTCTCGAACTCCTGACCTCAGGTGATCCACCTGCCTCGGCCTCCCAAAGTCCTGGGATTATAGGCATGAGCCACCATGCCCGGACAACATATCTTTGAGAATTATATTTCAACTGGGATATTAGAAATGGAGATAATATATATGGCATACATGTCCAGATGCAGAAAAACTTCGGATCTTGAATGGTTATTTAAATCATTTAATTTTAAAAATTATTTTATCTCCAGGGCAATTTATGAACTTTGGAGTGGATATTTAAGTTCTATGAAGAGTAGCAACATAACAGAGCTAATATTGTTACACCAGTTAGGGAAAAGATTGTTACATTTGTATATGAAAGCTTTGACTATAGTATGACCAAACTTGCTTGCAGTGAGATGATCAAGAAAAATAAAATTCAAGGAATTTTAGGAGTGGAAGCTGCTTGAAATACTCGTTTCTGGATGTAAGATTGCAAACAAACACACATATTACAAAAGAGCTATCAGATATTATTAAGGATCAGATATGGAGTAACCCTGACTTTATGGTAGCACATATTACTAGGCTTTCTTCAGTAGTACTGTTACACTAGGTACCTAGTCAGACAGGAGGCAGGTGAGCAGGGCGGGAGAACCAACCTCCCCCCAGGAATGTCAGGCCATCACCAGGTGATGATCAGGCAGTGATTAAACTGTCTCTCTAAAATAATAATTTGTCACAGCCAGTTCCAAGGAAAGGCAGAGTCCAATAGAAAGAGAACACCTGAAACTGGTAATCAACACGTTCCCGATAAGGTCTCAGGAGGTGGGCAAGTGGGCTGCAGCATATGCAGGAGTTTAACTGGTATATGACCTTCTAGGAACATTCGACTAGTAAGGGAAAAACGCAAATGAGTATGTGTACAACTTCAGTGTACACACTGCGCATACAGCCCCTGCAAAGTGCTGGCAGGCCACCTGCATGGTGGAAAGCCCACCCCAAGGGAACAACTGGGAGAAGTAATGCAAGAGCCTGGAAGCATGCCAACATCTAAAACCCTAAGTCAAAACTCAAACCATGCACTTGAATCTCTCGTCGACTGCCTGGCACTCTTCCAAATGTACTTCCTTTTGTTCCTAATCTAAAACTTTTTAACAAATTTTCACTCCTGCTCTAAAACTTACCTCAGTTTCTCACTCTATTTTATGCCCCTCAGTCAAATTCTTTCTATTGAGGAGACAAGAATTGAGGTTTCTGCAGACCCATACAGATTTGCCATTGCTAAAACACTTTGGTGCTGCATGCCTTGGATACTTTCCCTAGTGGTAACATTACCTATCAGCTTAGGTTTCAGCACAGCATCAGGTATTTCCAGGCAGATATGACAAAAATAATAATTTTGCAAAGAAAAATAAAATGTGTGCATAAAAGTGGTTGAAGTAAATAGCCTCTGAGGGCTTAGCTGCGTTCAAGGAAGGGAGGGCAGAAGTTTTTAAGGAGACAAAAAAAAGTAGCAAGAGCAGTACTTGAGTTCCAGCGAAACTCATGGACATTTGCATTAGACATAACTCACCAAATAATTGGAAACAATAAGAGGCTGTCCTTAAAGAAGACAAGTCTTCAACTTATATCAAAGGTGGAACATTGTCAAGTTAAACATTCTATTTTGTGATCAAGGAATGGGATTGAAATGAGGGTCCCTAGAGACAAAACAAACCAACAAACAAACAAACCAAACCAAAACAAACAAAGCAAAAAAAATGAAAATAAAAAGTCAGATGGATAAATGTTCAATGTCTGGCATGAAATATGTTGCCATCTATATCCCTCTTACTGGTTCTAAAATACAATTCAATCTAAACAGTTGTTTTTTATTATATCATGTTTTCTGAATTATCTTTCCTTCATTCTCATTATGAATGTTCATTCAAAATCTTTCCCTGGCTCCACTGAAAAATGTATTTTATATAGTGAAATATGTGCATTTAAATATCTAAGATAACAAGACAGTTTTTATCTTGCTTGGATTCCTCTTTTGCCCCTAGTAGCTAATTTAAAATATTGTTATTAAAGCATATTCACAGAGGAATCTGACCTATTAGTAAGAAGTACAGGACATAATTTGGACTACAGGCCCCTCTTGCTATTTTCCAATCTTTTAACCATAAAATTTCTGACATATTCCCTTTCATTAGAAAATTAAAGATAAAAATAAGATGTAGATAAGAAGAAACTGTACAAGAAGTGTCAGCAAGTATCTAGCTTTTTAAAAAATTGACCAGGGGCCAGGAGCAGTGGCTCACGCCTGTAATCCCAGCACTTTGGGAGGCCCAGTGGGGTGGATTGCCTGAGCTCAAGAATTTGAGACCAGCCTGGGCAACACAGTGAAACCCTGTCTTTACTAAAATACAAAAAATTAGCTGGGCATGGTGGTGTGTGCCTGTAGTCCCAGCTACTCAGGAGGCTGAGGCAGGAGAATTGCTTGAACCTCCACCAGGAGGTGGAGGTTGCAGTGAGCAACAGAGTGAGACTTCGTTTCAAAAAAACAAAACAAAACAAAACAAAACAAAAAAACCTGACCAGGTTAGCAGATAAGGGAAAACATTGTAGTCTAAAGGACAGGATTATTGAAAAAGAAAAAGGAGCTATGGAGGTTAGTAAGAATGGGTAGTAAATCCCGGCAAACAGGATTGAGGAGCTTTCATCGATCACTGTGAATAAAATAAATGGCAAATGATTTGTTAGCACAATAAAGACGAAAGGTTGTCAGAGGAAGATTTATTATAGTCACAAAAATGTCACAGAGAAAATAGGACCTAAGTACTGTATGGAAGGATGATTACATTGAATGAAATTTAAGTGTGGAAAATAATGTATGTGTCATGATTATGCCTTGGTATTTCAGGCTTATTTTTTGGAATTTCCACTAATTAGCACATTATGGGGCAGCTGGCATAACCCTGTCTCATTATAGGAGGTGAAAAACTGAAAGGTTTCTACATCATAATATATGACTAGATTCTAAATTTTTCCATATCTTTCAAAATTTTCTGGCTATTACTCTTTCAAATTACCTTACGTCTTGTCTTTTACATAAATTTGCTTAGTTTGTATCAGAATTGGTCTTCTTAGCCATGAGGAGTTATTTTAAAAATTTGTACATTTGAAGATTTTCAGTTAATTTATTTGTATGCTCATAACTCCACCTTATAGATGAGAAAAATAATGTGTGCTATAACCAAATAAGGGGATTGAGAAAGTACGATGATAATGAGCTTGTCCAATGTTACCTAGCTAGTAGAGCAAGAGCAAGTACTGAAATCCCAGATTCTTTGAAATTAATGAGAATGCCTCTGGAATGAAAATAATTTTTTTCTATATGTAATAAAAATAATGTTTTTTTGAAGCATTATATTCTCACTATTGGAAGTAAAACTTTTTTATTTTATATTTTTGTATTTTTAGTAGAGACAGCGTTATGCCATGTTGGCCAGGCTGGTCTCTAACTCCTGGCCTCGTGTGATCTGCCCACCTTGGCCTCCCAAAGTGCTAGAATTACAGGCATGAGCTACTGTGCCCAGCTGCCCCAAAGACTTTAGTTCAAGCTCTAGAACTGTTGGTTAGTAGTTTCATAAGCTTAGGTTAGTCATTTATGTTCTCAAAGGCCCAGGTTTTTTTCCATTTATATGAAGTCAATAGCAATATGTGACTTCTCAATATTTTTAAAATAAGTAATATAATTTCATTGGAGGTTATATATGCATATCTACCAATCAACCATGGTTTCTCTGGAGGCAAATAACTGGATGAATTATATTATGATCATAAGATTTCTTGGTAAGCAAAACATAAGAAAAAAGTTGGTTATAGAATGCTGTCAGTCTAGTACATTTATCTAAAACAAATGAATAGATTTACCATTTTGACCTGACTTTAATTATTGGCCTTTGATAGATAATTTCTAGAAAATCTTCTGTTTGGATGGACATAACTATATATTTTCACACTTTTTCTCATTTCTACAATTACTTTAAAACTTATAGGATCTACTGAAAAATACTTGGCACCTTCATATTAAAAATAATGTTTCTGACCGGGCGTGGTGGCTCACCCCTGTAATCCCAGCACTTTGGGAGGCCGAGGTGGGTGGGATCACTTGAGGTCAGGAGTTTTAGGCCAGCCTGGCCAACATGGTGAAACCCCCGTCTCTACTAAAAACACAAAAATTAGCTGTGCATGGTGGTGCATGCCTGTAGTCCCAGCTACTTGGGAGGCTGAGGCAGAAGAATGGCCTGAACCCAAGCGGAAGTGGTTGCAGTGAGCCGAGATCATGCCACTACACTCCAGTCTGGGTGACAGAGCGAGACTCCATCTCTAAAAATAAATAAATAAATAATTACGTTTCTTTGGATGGTAAACTCCTAACCAAATAAATGGACAGCCATAAAAACTAACAGAACATCCTTGAAAAACAAGTCCAAACATGAAGTGCTAAACTAGGTAGCAGAAAAGGTTACAAAAAATGAGATGCTTCAATATAACAATTTAAACATAAGAGCACATTTAGTAACAGATTTAGAAATCAGCTGGTCTGTAAATTCTCATCACAGACCATGGGGTAATAACTTCTGAAGATAGACCTGAGTAATACACTTTAATCAATGAAGTAAAAGGGAAATCTGAAGAAAGTAGTCTTCAGTTGTGAATAAAACAAGAAAACCTATTCATAGTTGTAGGAGTGAACACCCAACAGTTACGAAATCTGGGTCTTCTGAAAAATATACTTAGGATATGATCTTTGCCTTATCGAGCTGGTATTGCAGCACTCAGCTAATGTTTATAAGTAGCTGGTACTGATGAGTACACTGAACATAGCTAGTATATCCAAAACTGTCAGAAAGAAGGGATTCCAAGCAGAAATAAAAAAGCTGTTCATGAAATTTGAAGGGAGCTCCCACTTGGCAAAATTGTTACTCTGGTAGAGATCTATGAGGAACTTGAGCAAACCAAGAAACCCATAGGTCTGTATATAAAATTATCATCATGAAAATCTTATTCATCCTGAGAAAATTGAATTTGGAAGTTGAATTCTTTCAACTGCATCTATTGGCATCTGTCAAACTCCTGTTGTAATAAGCATGAATATCAAATTAACAATTACAAATGAAAGAAATCTTATAAACTTATAATCAAATAGATTTAGGAAGATGTATAAAATTTAGGAGAAATAATAATAATAATACTAGAGTATGAGAAGATAGGCAAACTTTGTTGTGCTTTCAAAATTGTGTGCCTGCTAATGTAAGATGAATTCTTTACTGGAACACTTTTCTCTGGGTTATAGTCACTGGTTGTTTCTGGGATACATGACACAATGTGAATTTGGCAAACTTTACTTCTCTGGTAAATTTTATTGGTTCTATCTATAATGACAAAGACAATTGAGGCTTTCCAGAAGGAGAAAAACAGAAAAATAATGTATCATATTATTTCAAAAGATTGATCTTCAGAACATGTTATATTTGAACTATTTGGGTAAAAAATTATTATAAACATGCTATGCATACATTTTATTCTAATTATTGGCCTAATTCATTGACTATTGAAAAGTTGAACCATTGGAATCCTGTGGTATGTGAATACTAGAACTTGCCTAAAGATTTTTTAGTAATTGGACTTTCACACTAAAGTTGTTTTTGATAAAATGTATAAAATGGCAATCACATTTATGTGAATTAACAGTGAGTCTTTACAGCAGTGTTCAAAGCTCGTGCCTGTATTGTCCTTTTCTTGTTATTTTGTCATAGCTGAAATATTAGATGCTGAAGGTATGTGTATTCCTGAAGATTCTATGATGGGAAAGTCAATGTTATTTCATATATTTTATTTATATATTTTTAAAGGAATTAAAAAATATTTTGCATTACAAAGCCATGTACAAGGTTATTTGTTTGTTGTGAGGTTTTCGGTTTTATTTTTTGTATTTTTAGGGAGAAAAATGTAGATATTTGAGTTCTTTGTAGATTCTGGATATTAGCCCTTTGTCAGATAAGTAGCTTGCAAAAATTTTTTCTCCCATTCTGTAGGTTGCCTGTTCACTCTGATGGTAGTTTCTTTTGCTGTGCAGAAGCTCTTTAGTTTAATTAGATCCCATTTGTCCATTCTGGCTTTTGTTGCCATTGTTTTTGGTGTTTTAGACATGAAGTCCTTGCCCATGCCTATGTCCCGAATGGTATTGCCTAGGTTTTCTTCCAGGGTTTTTATGGTTTTATGTCTAACATTTAAGTCTTTAATCCATCTTGAATTAATTGTTGTATAAGGTGTAAGGAAGGGATCCAGTTTCAGCTTTCTTCATATGGCTAGGTAGTTTTCCCAGCACCATGTATTAAATAGGGAATCCTTTCCTCATTTCTTGTTTTTGTCAGGTTTGTCAAAGATCAGATAATTGTAGATGTGTGGCATTATTTCTGAGGGCTCTGTTCTGTTCCATTGGTCTATATGTCTGTTTTGGTACCAGTACCATGCTGTTTTGGTTACTGTAGCCTTGTAGTACAGTTTGAAGTCAGGTAGCACGACGCCTCCAGCTTTGTTCTTTTGGCTTAGGATTGGCTCGGCAATGTGGGCTCTTTTTTGGCTCCATATGATCTTTAAAGTAGTTTTTTCCAATTCTGTGAAGAAAGTCATTGGTAGCTTGATGAGGATGGCATTGAATCTATAAATTACCTTGGGCAGTATGGCCATTTCAACGATATTGATTCTTCCTATCCATGAGCACAAGAAAAAATAAACAACCCCATCAACAAGTGGGCAAAGGACATGAATAGACACTTCTCAAAAGAAGACATTTATGCAGCCAAAAGACACATGAAAAAATGCTCATCATCGCTGGCCATCAGAGAAATGCAAATCAAAACCACAATGAGATACCATCTCACACCAGTTAGAATGGCGATCATTAAAAAGTCGGGAAACAACAGGTGCTGGAGAGGATGTGGAGAAATAGGAACACTTTTACACTGTTAGTGGGACTGTAAGCTAGTTCAACCCTTGTGGAAGTCACTATAGCGACTCCTCAGGGATCTAGAACTAGAAATACCATTTGACCCAGCCATCCCATTACTGTGTATGTACCCAAAGGATTATAAATCATGTTGCTATAAAGACACATGCACACGTATGTTTATTGCTGCACTATTCACAACAGCAAAGACTTGGAACCAACCCAAATATCCAACAATGATAGACTGGATTAAGAAAATGTGGCACATATACACCATGGAATACTATGCAGCCATAAAAAATGATGAGTTCATGTCCTTTGCAGGGACATGGATGAAGCTGGAAACCATCATTCTCAGCAAACTATCGCAAGGACAAAAAAAACAAACACCGCATGTTCTCACTCACAGGTGGGAATTGAACAATGAGAACACTTGGACACAGGAAGGGGAACATCACACCCCGGGGCCTGTTGTGGGGTCGGGGAAGGTGGGGGGATAGCATTAGGAGATATACCTAATGTAAATGACAATGTAATGGATGCAGCACGCCAACATGGCACATGTATGTATACATATGTAACTAACCTGCACGTTATGCACATGTACCCTAAAACTTAAAGTATAATAAGAAAAAAAAGAAAAGAAAAATGTGGAAATTTGATTTTGGAGTAACACCATTACTTGAGCATGTTTCTGTTATTTCACTTCATAGCAATAACAATACAATATTTAAAAAACATTTGGCATATACTTTATTTGGGAGACTTTGAGAAATTAGTAAGTTTTCCTGAGTTAGAATATTTTTAAAACAATCTGTTAGGTTTAAGCTAAATACATAATTAGACTATCGATCAATTGGAAGCTTTATTATTTCAGGAAGGAAATTATTTTGTCCTGTTACTTATATATTTGGCCCCAAAGTTTTTCCACATCTTTGTCATAGCAGCTCTCCATTTACACTAACATTTTATCTGACATTTCTAGATTTGTAGTGTAGTGGGAGAGATGGTTTCAGTAAATCTTGTTTTTCATATTTCTAAAAATAGAGGTCTTCAAATATTAATATAGTAAATTATTTCATTCCTTAAATTACAAGTGTTTTCCATTGTTATTAAGAACTCAGAATGATAAGTCAATTAACAGTTAATCATGTTCAAGCCTCTCCAGTAATAATAAAATAAAATATATACACTTGCCTTACCTTATATGTGAAGCCTCTCCAATTTTCTCATTTGCATTTTGTTCATTCAACAAATATTTATTGTTTCCCTCCTATGTTGCAGACAATGTGCTATCTCTAAGGGTAACCATTAGAAATATAGTATTTACCATCCTAATGTTGACTAGATGTCAGAGAAGACATTAATCCAGTCATAATGCACATGGAATATAACATTGCACTTCTGGTAGGTGCTGAAAGAAGAAACATGATGACCTAAGAGAAAAATATAACAATTAACCTTAAAGGATTTGGATGACTGCATTTGAATTCTTAAAGTTAGCAAAACAATTTGCAACCACGCACAGCATTCTTTGCAGAAATGGATCACGAGGAGGTCAGGCATTAACTTAAAACTTGGATCAAGTCCTTTTCTGTTAATAATCAAAACACTTCAAGTTTCTCACTAACAAATATAACATATAATATAGTGGGAGGTTACAATCATTCTGAAACCCGAAGAATGTTATCTGATTAAATATCAAATAGTAACTAATTTAGACAAATAATATTTTTAACTTTTATTTTAAGTTCAGGGTACATGTGCAGGATGTGTCAGTTTTTTGCACAGATAAATGTGTGTCATGGGGGTTTGTTGTACAGGTTATGTTAATATCCAGGTATTAAGCCTAGTATCCATTAATTATTTTTCCTGATCCTCTCCCTTCTTCTACCCTCTGCCCTCTGGTAGGCTTGTGTGTGTTGTTCCCCTCCATATGTCCATGTGTTCTCATCATTTAGATCCCATTTATAAATAAGAACATGCTGTATTTGTTTCTCTCTCCCTGTATTAGTTTGTTAAGGATAATGGCCTCCAGCTCCATCCATGTCCCTGCAAAGGACAGGATCTCATTATTTTTTATGGCTGCATAGTATTCTGTGGTGTATATGTACCACATTTTCTTGATCCAGTCTATCGTTGTTGGGCATTTAGGTTGATTCCATGTCTTTGGTTTTGTGACTCATGCTGCAATGAACATAGGGGTGCATGTGTCTTTATAATAGAATGATTTATATTTCTTGGAAATATACCCAGCAATAGGATTGCTGGATCAAATAGTATTTCTGTCTTCAGGTCTTTGAGGAATCACCACACTGTCTTCCACAATGGTTGAACTAATTTACATTTCCACCAACTGTGTATAAACGTTCTTTTTTCTCCGCAACTTTGCCAGCATCTGTTACTTTTTGGACATTTAATAATAACCATTCTGCCTGGTGTGAGATGGTACCTCATCGTGGCTTTAATTTGTACTTCTCTAATGATCAGTTATGTTCAGTTTTTTTCATATGCTCGTTGGCTGCATGTAAGTCTTCTTCTGAGAAGTGTCTGCTCATGTCTTTTGTGCACTTTTTAATGGAGTTGTTTGTTATTTTCTTAAATTCATTTAAGTTTCTTATAGATGCTGGATATTAGACCTTTCTCAGATGCATAGATTGCAATAATTTTCTCCCATTCTGTAGGTTGTCTGTTAACTCTGTTGATAGTTTCTTTAGCTATGTGGAAACTTTTTAGTTTAATTAGATTTAATCTGTCAAAGTCAATGCACAGAAATTGCTAGGTTTCCTGTACACCAATGATACTCAAGCTGAGAGCAAAATCATGAATGAATTCCCACTCATGATTGCCATGAAAAGAATAACATACCTAGGAATAGAGCTAATAGGGAAAGTGAAGGATCTCTACAAGGAGAACTAAAAACCCCTGATCAAACAAATCAGAGATGACAGAAACAAATGGACAAACATTCCATGCTTATGAATAGGAAGAATCAATATCATTAAAATGGCCATATGGCCCAAAGCAATTTATAGATTCAATGCTATTTTAATTAAACTACCATTGACATTCTTCAAAGAACTAGAAAAAACTATTTTAAAATTCATATGAAACCAAAAAAAGAGCCCAAATAGCCAAGGCAATCCTAGGCAAAAAAAAAAAAAAAAAAAAAAAAAAAAACAAAGCTGGAGGCATCATGCTACCTGGCTTTAAACTATACTACAGGGCTACAGTAACTGAAACAGCATGGTACTGGCACAAGAACAGACACGGAGACCAGTGGAACAGAATAGACAACCCAGAAATAAGACTGCACACCTCCAATTATCTGATCTTCAACAAACCTGACAAAAACAAGCAATGAGGAAAAGATTTCCTATTTAATAAATGTTGCTGGGATAGCTGGAGACCCTTATGCAGAAAATTAAAACAACCCCTTTCTTACACTATATATAAAAATCAACTTAAGATAGATTAAGTACTAAGTGTAAAACCCCAAACTGTGAAAACCACAGAAGAAAACCTAGGCAAGGTTATTCATAACATAAGCACAGGCAAAGATTTCATGATGAAGATGTTGAAAGCAATTAATTGAATCATTAATTAAAAATTTTTTATTCAATTTGTTTTTGATATCAGTTTGGTTATAAATTGGGGAAAAATATATATACGTGTATGTATATATATGCATATATATTCTAAAAAATACAAAAAAATCACAATGTTTGCAGTAATAGTAATTGCTATTTACAATAATATTCACAATCATTCCTATTATCTTTATAATTAAAAGTAACATAGTATTATCAACAAAGGACAAAAATCATATTTATATTGTGCATGTTTTTATATCACTTTCTGTTTTGATAGAATTGTTTCTGCTGTAGGATCATTGAACAAAACTTTTTACATTTGTTAAAGAGAAATACTGACATAAAACCGAAAGAATAGGCATTATTTTTGTATTAAAGATTTGTTATCCTGACATCCCATTCTGTGGAGCTGATTGTTGTAACATTCAAAGGTCTTAACTACTGCCTGAGTTTTTCTTTTTCTCTCTCTCTCTCGATTTTAATGTGCTTGTTCTTGATCTAAAAGAGTGAATCAACTGTTTTAACTGATCAAAGCACATATTCCTTTTAGAGCAGCTAGAACAGCACATGTCAATTATGTGTGGGCAATGGAGACAGGCTTTCTATTTCATCTGAAAGGTCTCTATGTTAATTGCAGCAGAATTTGCAAATTGCTAAAAAACCATTGTGATGAGATGGAAAGTTTTTTTGGAATTTATCTATCTCAAAAATTCATCAGAATTCTCATAATCATAGGAAAGCTCAAGTTTCCACTGTCTTTAGCCAGTAAGTACCTTCTATTTGAGAAAAAGTTTTTTTATAGAGCACTTACTGTATATGGAGTCATGCTGGTGCCTCCTATCATATAGCTTACATTGTAGGTCCTTCTGCAATTTTAGCCAAGGGCTTTGCCACAGAGCCAAGTCAAACCCTGGTCCCAGAGCCATTTATTGTAATTATCACAAGGATGTAAAAGTGAATATGGAATTATAGTATTTATGCATATTAAATGATTTTGCCTAGGTAAATACTTACTGAAATTGATTTTCCTGGAAACATGCAATTATTACTGGTATAGTTATTGCATTGAAAGCTTTTCTGAAGTAGAAGTACCTTACTAGATATGAGAAAATTCTTACTATGATAGGTCAATAGGTAGGAAAAGGAGTCTAAAAGACTTCTGTCTCAACCATAATGCCCTATTCAAATATACCAATTGACATAAGGTTAAATACAACAGGATTGTCTTTCCACAAACCTGAAGTAATGTTTCACATCCAGCACAGGACTTTAACCTTAGTATTAGCTGTCTACTTGTTATTGGTGACACTGAACTTTTTTCAGGTGCAAGTTGTTTAATCTAAAACAAAATTCAAATTTAAGTGTAATAATTAAGTAATGTTAAACATAATCAATTTAGAGCAGAAGACTGTTTTGTAAATTTGAAAAAGTCTTCATTATTATATACTTTCTCACATTCTACTTAACAGCATTTGGAGGATCTCATCAAAATGAAAAGGAATAAAGCAGAATGAGGCTAAAACTCAGGGCTTTATGAACTCTGAAAATCTAATGTATACACATTTTTAAGGGAATATTCAAAATTTGTATGAGGCTAGCTTACTCTCGGCAAATCAGAGGTCTCATAGAGTATTTGAGAAAGAAAACTGAAATCAGGACAATAGCAGTTGTGTAGGAACTTCTACATTGAGAGAGAACATGCTAACTAATAAGAAACGGTAAGAAGAAAATAGAAACACATGTGCAAGTAATATATATATATATATATACACACACACACAAAACTATGTATATATTCTATACATGCATAAATGTATATATGTATTTGTATAAATATGCATATAAATGCATATTTAACTTGGGTGTGTATTATTTCATGTAATAAAAACATTTGTTTTACTCTGGAGTTTTCAGTGTCTATAAGACTTTCTTAAATAGAAAGTAATTACAAAATTGGCTGGGCATGGTGGCTTACACCTGTAATCCCAGTACCTTGGGAGGCTGAGGCAGGCGGATCATGAAATCAAGAGACAGAGACCATCCTGGCCAACATGGTGAAACCCTGTCTCTACTAAAAATACAAAAAAATTAGCTGGGCATGGTGTTGCCTGCCTGTAGTCCCAGCTACTTGGGAGGGTGAGGCAGGAGAATCACTTGAACCTGGGAGATGGAGGTTGCAGTGAGCAGAGATCACACCACTGCACTACAGCCTGGTGACAGAGTGAGACTCCGTGTCAAAAAAAAAAAATAATTACAAAATTATCATTTGGTTGTTTATTATTTTATTTCTAATCTCTTTTTCATTCATTCTTCTTACATTATTGCAAAGGTTTTAAGTTAAAACTTGGTTTGCCTGTTGATATAATTTGTTATATACTTTATTGAGTTTTAACATAGACTTCAAAAATATTTACAAATATTGAAGATCATCTTTAAATTCACCCTTGAATAGATGGACCTACTCAGACACCGGCTATTTTTTTTTAACCATGTTTACATTTATATGTTTGCCTCATGACCAGACAAAATTGATTAGTACTTTGAGTCATTCTTTGGTTCAGGAAACTTTATGTAGTATCACATCTTTTCTTAGAGTCTAAGGTCTTGGGATTCTGCTGTAATGTAGATGGTCAGGAGAACCCAGTAGGCTCCTCACAATATCAAGAAAAATGTCTTGATCTAGAGAACAGTCACTCTGAACAAAGCAACTACAAATATCTAATGACAAAGGTTGTTTTTTGTGTCTGAGAATGGTTTACATACTGAATTATAAGAGCTTAGCTCATAGGGGCTTAACTCATAAGGGGACAACTCACATCTCCTTGTTGATAGTATTATTTTGCAATAGCAGGAAACATTGCTGTTAGTAAAAGGCATTGCTAATGATTCGGCTTGATAGATTGCAAGAGACTAATCTCTTGCTGCTTTCCATCACAAATTTGAATGTGCACTGGAAATTTATCGGTTTGTTTATTTCTGTTTGAGACCATTGCGGAATCAGTAGAGTAAAATAATTTTTTTAAGCCACTTAAAATTTGTCGTGATGTATTTTGGTTGACTCGTTTTTAGAACCCGTCTTCTCTTTCTATTACTCCAGCACTCTGGTAAAGATGAAAACAGTGTAAGTGATAACAATTTGGAAGACCTATAATATATATTTATAGTTTTCTTAATGAAATAATGAGACTATGATTTGATACAAGGAGGGATATGCACATTTTTAAAAAAATTATGAGCTACTCTTTCAAATGGGAGGGAAATGTTACAGACTTGGTGTCAAATGATGGTAAAGGCCGTAACCACAAAATATCATAACCAAGGCTATCAACTGGCCAAAAGGACTCAAAAAACTGTTGATAAAACCCTGTCTCTACAAAAGTAAACATTAAAAATATTAGCTTGGCATGGTGGCATGCACCAGTACAGTCCCAGCTACTACGAGCCTGAAATGGGAGGATCTCTTGAACCCAGCGATTTGAGCTATAATCAATCATGCTGCTGCACTCCAGCCTGCACCACAGAGGAAAGAAATGTCAGAGATCTCTTCTTTCTTCTTATTCACCATAGATTTACTTGACACAGTAACTATCAAAAGCTGAATTTTGTGACCTGCACTGGACAAAAAGGAATCATTTGGATTTGGCGATATAAGCACAACTAAAGATAAATTTGATTCCTGTGGGCTTTCCTACAAGCTCATTGATGGATTTTCAGAAAGGTCCTTTTTTAGGATTTTGAAATGCTAAATTGTCCAGGATCCTTCTTGCTACAATTAATGACATTTTGAAAGGATCTGAACATTTGTTGTACTTTCATTCATTTGATTTGTTTTATTTCTTTTTTGAATAATTTCTCTCTTGTCCTTAGGTATACCTTGCCATTCTCTCTCTTCTATTTCTGTAGGTTATTTTGCACAGCATTCAGTTATGTTTTTAGGCTTTTGGGGTCCTTACTTCCCAGGTAAGGAAACAGTTTTAAAATATTTTGAAAGTTGAGGATAAACAGCTGGGTGTGGTGGCTCATGCCTGTAATACCCGCAATTTGGGAGGCCGAGGTGGGTGAATCACGAGGCCAGGAGTTCAAGACCCACCTAGCCAAGATGGTGAAACCCCATCTCTACAAAAAACAGAAAAAAATTAGTTGGGCGTGATGGTGGGTGCCTGTGATCCCAGCTTCTTGGGAGGCTGAGACAGAGAATTGCTTGAACCCGGGAGGCAAAGGTTGTAGTGAGCCAACATCGTGCCACTGCACTCCAGCCTGGTGACAGAGCAAGACTCCGTCTCAAAAAAATTGAAACCAGTTTAGAACAAAGCTTTGCAATTTATTAATATTTGCCTTGCTCAATAACCCCTTAGAATTATTTTGTGGTAAATAGTGCAATAATTAACCTTTGATTTTCAATGCTATAATGAAGACAGGAAAAATCGTATTCAGGAGATGGCACAAAACATTCCTTTGCGAAGCTATGGACATCGTGACACACTGAAAAGCTGAAGTTTTCTTTCAAAGTTAAGCTCACTGACATTATTTCTTTTTTTAAAACCTAAACATTATTTAATCATTAAGTTTAAAAGGCCTTTAAATAGTATTTAGTCCTATCTAAATATTGAGTTAACTAAATATCTTAAAACATTGAGAAATACATCCATTAACTCAATTCCATTTTAAGTACTTTAGTTTCTTAACTTAATAAAGCCTCCTCGATAGTAAACATTGCTTATAAATCCAACCAAATAGACTTACAAGCGCAGGAAGCATTAAGTCCCTTCATATATTTCAATATTGAACATAAATGTTACAAGATTTCAACTTAGAATAAGTCTACATCAATTACTATATTACAAATTTCAAATTACTCAAATGCTTTCACTCCAAATAGAACAATTTAATGTACATGTTTTAAGTACATGAATTATAAAATATACACAGGTACATTTTTCAACCAAAGTTATTCATACTTTTATTACTTTAAAAAACTTTCATATCTTTAAATTTTTCAAATATTCTGTTAATGAATATTTTACTACCAAATTTTTAAATAAATTGAATTGTTTCTCAAATTCCTTTTCAGATTATCAGTTGTTTGTGTATAGACATAAAATTTATTTTGGTACATCGATTTTTTTAACCTGAAAATTTGTTTAACATTTTTACTTCTAATAGTTTTTTTTTTTTTTTTTTTTTGGTTTTTTTTTTTTTGAGATGAAGTTTTTCTCTTGTTGCCTAGGCTGTAGTGCAATGGCGAGATCTCGGCTCACTGCAACCTGCACCTTGCTGCTTCTAAGGATTCTCCTGTCTCAGCCTCCTGTAGCTGGGACTACAGGTGCCCACCACCATGCCCAGCTAATTTTTGTTCCATTTGCTAGATTATGTTTATTAGTATTTTATTAAGATTTTATATCTATATTCATAAGGAACATTGGTCATTAGTTCTTTTTCTTTCTTTCTTTTTATTATTTCCTTTTAGTATGAATTTTGTATCAGGGTAATAGGGGCCTCATAAAACATGTTGAGTGAGAAGTGTTCCCCACTTTTCTATTATTTGGAAGCGTTTACCATGAAAATTTTCTTTAAATATTTGGTAGAATTCACCAGTGACTATCTGGGCCTATTTTTTTTTTTCCTTTCTAGGATTTTTTTTAATCACTAGTTAATCCCTTTACTTATTATAAATCTGCTTATAATTTTGATTTTACTTGAGTCAGTTTTTTTTCTTTGTGTGGTTTGTTTGTGTATTTCTTGGGATTTTTTCATTTCATCTAGGATGTCTGATTTTTTGGATATCTGGTTGTCCATGGTATTCTCTTTTTTTTAAATTTATTTTTTATTTTTTTTTGAGACAGAGTTTTGCTTTTGTTGCCCAGGCTGGAGTGCACTGGCATGATCTTAGCTCACTGCAACCTCCACCTCCCAGTTCAAGTTATTCTCCCACCTCAGCCTCCCAAGTAGCTGGGATTACAAGTGCCCACCACCACGTCCAGCTAATTTTTGTGTTTTTTTTTTTTTTTAATAGAGACAGGGTTTCACCACATTGGCCAGGCTGGTCTCGAACTCCTGAACTCAGGTGACCCACCAGCCTCAGCCTCTCAAAGTGCTGGGATTACAGGCATGAGAATTCTTTCTATTTGTAAGCTAAGAAGTAATGTTCCCGCTTTCATTACTGATTCTGGTTATTTGAGTCTCTGTTCTTTTTTCTTTGTCAATCAAAATAAAATATTGACATTCTGTTCTGGCTTGATTAATTTTCATTATTGTTTATCTATGATGTTTTTCATTTACTTCTATTTTAATTTATATTAATTTTTTCCATCTGCTTGCGTTGGCTTATGGAAAGTTTTCTCTTTTTTTTTTTTCCAGTTTCCTAAGGTAGAAGGCTTGGTCACTGACTTAAGACCTTTATTTTTTTTGTTTAAATATGGCATTTACAGCTATAAATTTCCCTCTGAGCCCTGATTTTGCTACATCTCATAAGTTTTTGTATGTGATGTTTTTTGTGTTTATTTATCATCAGTTAGTTTTTAATCTCCCTCATGATTCATTAATAAATTTGTGTATAAGTTGAATCTGTGATTAATATTGTTGCAGTTATAGAAAAGCCCATTTACAGTTTGATGCATACAATCACAGTATTAACACCAGTTCTCAATCATTTTATTTCATGTTTTCTCTCATTCTCTAGCGACATTATTCTCAGAGAACAAAATAAAAAAAATTAAATTTTAAAGTGATATTCCATTTCATTAGACTCATTGATTCCTTCATGTACAGTAGTTCTTTGACTTCAACTGTTATGATTCTTTTGTCTTGTTCATCAAGATGCATATAATCATTAGAATCAAATAAAAAATCTAAAGGTAAAACACTTTAAAATAACAATAGTTATATGATTCTTTGGCCATGGGTTTTTCTGTTTATGAAAAATTGTTTAACAGAATTCAAATCGATTACATTTTTCAATCTGCATTTATTAACCTATCAAAATACTTAAATGGCATATTTCACTGAACTTTTACATTTTTTCTACATACAAGTTTTGAAATAAATAGCTTCCAGTTTTAATATTTAGATGTATCCTGTGTTTGTACCTTATAATAAGAAAAGCACTTCCAGAAATGCCTCCAGAGAAAACCTGAAAAAATTTAACCATGATCGTAGACTATAGTGTATTATTTAAGCTTTGATTCAATTAGGCTCTCAATTTAATTTTGAATGGGTGATTGAATTCTATTCAATTATCCTATGTTTAGTAAAGTTTTACAGTTTTATTTCTATTTGCCTTTTTTCCTGCATTATACGAATAATCCCTTAGAGAGCAAGACCTAATTAATCAGAACTTTCAGGGAGTAATGTGAAAATTTCATTAAAATTCTGATTATTTAAAGACTAATTAGAAATTCCTTTTTGTGTCAATGCTCTGGGGGAAGAAAACAACTAAAACAGAGAACATTTTAATGACTAAGAAGAGTATAATTTATTATTTATGATAATTGTTATATTTTCTTTCCATGATCATTCAGAACATTATTTTTGTAGACTAAAAGAGTTTAAACTTTGCAAATACTAAAGCATATAATGAGTTTATTAATAATTAACAAATGCCTTTGGATTGTAATAGCAGAGGTTTTTGGTTTTTACCTTAAAATAATCTTTGAATAAATAGCCTAGTTAATTAATATTTTCACTTATGTAAATATTTAATTGGAATTTTCACCTTTTTAAATAATTGTTTTAATACCTATTATAATTTCAGGTACATAATTGTACTCAATGAAAGACAAACCTACAAACTTTAATTTTAAAATATCTGTTGATCTCCTGATATCATTTTAAATGTCTGTACATAAAAATGCCAAAAAGCATCTACTACATTGCAATGTATCTGGAAATTTTATTGAAAGTAACTATAGAACCTCCTATGTAAATGAAAGTTAGTTATAAAATATTTGACTTCTGTTCAGATTATGCAATAGTCATCTGAGGTTTTAACGTTTTTAATTTTTATTGTATATATAATTTTTATTCACGGTATAAAATGTAAATTGCATATATGGTATTAAATACTAACCGCTTTGACTTAAATTTCCCTTTTTGGGTACTGTATTAGTCTGTCTAGTCTGTCATAAGAAAATACAATAGAGTGGGTGGTTTAAACAACAGAAATTTACTTCTCACTGTTCTAGAGGCTGGGCAGTTCAAGACCAAGGTGCCAGCTGGGTTGGTTTCTGGTGAGGGAACTCTTCCTGGCTTATAGATGGCCTCCTTTTTCCTCTGCTCCCACATGGCGGCAAAGACAAGCTCTGGCGTCTCTTCTTATAAGGCCACAAGCCCTATTAAACTAGATCTTCTCCCATATGACTTCATTTCACCTTTAATATCTCTTCACAGGCCCTATTTCCAAATACAGTCACATTGGTGACTAAAGTCTCAGCATATGAATGGGGCGGGGGCACAATTCAGTCCATAGCATGTACCAAAACTAATCTAGGCTCTAGACAAATAAAAATAAATATATCCCTGGTTATTCTTTATTTTCTAGTTTTGTAATTTCCCTTTTCATTAGGTTTGTCTTGTGTATACATTCAATTCAAGTGTTTTTTAAAAAAGGTTACAATTCACTTGAGATATGCACATCGTACAGGATTCTACAAAACTAGAATTATTGTTACATAATTCTGTAGACTTAAAATCTATTACATCTTTCTTAAATAATAGCAAATAAAAATGGTCCATATTATCCTCCAATCTAGTGGTATTTTGCCAGTTATTTTAAATCACTTGATATTAGAGAACTGATCTCATGATGATGCCACTAATTATATGAAGATAATTAAAATAACAACAAATATGTAATAAGAATTTTACTCAGAAGTTAAATGCAAAAAAATCCATATGAATTAACTAATCCAATCTGTACAAAAATCTGTAATTTATTATTATATCAATTTTAGAAAATTGATAAGGTTAATAAACTAGTCAAAAGTCACATACCAAGAAAAATAGAAAAGTTTTTTTTTTTTTAACATTACTCTCTACCAAAGATTATGTTCTTAACCGCTTATACTGAATGCTCAACAAGTTTTCTGGGTTAAAATTGATACCATGGATTACATTATGCTTATGGATATTGTGTATTTTTTCTCCAGGAGTGTTTGGTGAGAACCGCATATTTGAAGATAAGTGTGCAATGATAAGTTTGCTGTTAAAATTTATAGGTTTCATCTAAATAAAATATTTATGCATTATATTTAGAAGACAAAGGCAAGATAATTCTATAAATCCCTGAAAAAATGTACATGATTCTTGAAAATTCCAGAAAATCGAACTGGTATGTTAGGATCCAAATCAAGAAGACAGTCGCTTTTCCCCTAGAATGTAGGAAGCTGAGAACAAAATTGGTCCTGTTTTACAGCAAGAAGAAGTCAGATACAATTTTTGAACTCATCAGATAATTGAAATCACACTGCAACCAAGCAGTCTGAATACTATGGAACATCAAGTACTCCCAAAGAAACATGGAACTGGGGCATTGGATCATCTGTGCCATGGCATGAGATAAATGGATGCTGGGAACCAACCAAAGAAGCAGGTGGGAAGAATGCAGCTAAACATTCTAACAAATTGCTGATAGTGGAATGTAAGCTAGCACAGAAAACCTTGGAAGCCACTGAGAAGAAATAGTTGAACCCACTGGCAATCTACTGACACATGAACTGCCACGAGGCACTAAATAGAAAGACTGGAACCAAGGAGGAAAATCAAAAACAGCCTTTCTCATTGGTGCAGGCTTGAAGGAGGAAAGTGGCTCCATTGCATGAAAGATTGAGGATCTTCTTAATCCACATGCCCAGACTATTTTTCCCTACAGCATAAAAGCATAAAGCCACTAGGAAAGTATGTGGGTGAGAAGTGATTGTCTACAAAGTGTCCAGAGAAAATTTTGAAGTAGGATGAAACTCTTCTATTTTGATACTGGTTATCTTGACATTGGTGATAGTTACATAATTATTTTCATTTTTCAAAATTAATAGAACTCTACACTAGAAAGAAAGAATTCACTGTACATAAATGGTACATAAATAAGCCTATACTAATTTCCAAAATTCAAAGCAAGGTGTTATTCTAGTCAATTTGGATTTATGGTTAAAAGCAGATGAACTGCTTTTAACACTTTGCTTTGTTCACATGTATGTGAAATCTAAAAATTAAAAAAAAATCCAATGCACAGAAACAGAGGGTAAAACAGTGGTTACCAGGGTAAGAGGGAGAGAGAATGGCAGGAAATGGGAAGCTATAGGTTGAAGTGTACAAAGTTGCAGTTATGTAGGATAAAATAGTCAAGAGATCTAATGTATAAAGTGACTACAACTAATATTATTGTATTGCATACTGGTAATTTGCCAAGAGAGTACATTTTAGGTACTCTTCCCACACACACATGAATAAGGTAAACTATATGAGATTGATGGGTATGTTGCCTGTGCTTTGGGGTCACAACCAAAAAATTATTGCCCAGACCAATGTTATGGAAGTTGACATAATTCAGATGTTGTCCCCTCTAAATCTCATGTTGAATTGTAATCCACAATGTTGGAAGTGGGGCCTAGTAGGAGGTGATTGGATCATGGGGGTGTATTTCTCATAAATGGTTTAGTGCTATCCCCTGAGTACTGTCTTTGTGATAGTAAGTTATCATGAGATCTGGCTGTTTAAAAGTATGCAGCATCTTCCCCTCCACTCTCTCTTAACTCCCATTCTCACGTGAGATGCCTATTCCCTCTTTGTCTTCCACCATGATTGTAAGTTTTTAGGCCCACACCAGAAGCAGATGCTGATGCCACACTTTAAAGTCTGCACAACCCAGAACAAATTAAACTACTTTTCTTTATAAATTACCCAGTCCCTGATATTTCTTTCTATTTTTTTAGAGATGGAGTCTCGCTCTTTCACCCAGGCTGAAGTGCAGTGGCATGATCTTGGCTCACTGCAGCCTCAACTTTTTTGGGTCTGGTATTTCTTTATAGCAATACAAGAATAAAAACGGTCTAATGCAGAAGGTTTCCTCTGTATTTTCCTCTAACACTTACACAATTCCATGTCTTACATTTAAGCACTCTATTGTATTTTGTTATAGCAACCAGAGCTATTAACCAATATTAATAATATAATATTTTATTATCTATTATTATCTAAATAATAATATTTAAATATCTAGTTTATTACTAGATATTTTATTTGTAGCTATTGTTAATGGAATTACTTTCTTAGGTTTTTTTTTTAGATTATTAACTGTTGGCATATAGAAATGCTACTAATTTTTGTATGCTGATTTTGTGACCTGCAACTTTACAGGATTTGTTGATCCATTCTAACAGTTTTTTTGGTGGAGGCTTTGTTTCCAAACATAAGATCATATCATCTGCAAGCAGGGATAATTTGTCTTCTTCCTTTCCAATCTGGTTGCCCTTTATAGCTTTCTCTTGTCTGCTCTAGCTAGGACTTCTCATATGGTGTTGAGTAACAGTGATGAAAGTGGGCATATTTGTATTATTCTTGATTTTACAGAAAAGTCTTTCAGTTTTTTCTCATTCAGCATGATACTAGCTGTGGGTCCCTCATATATGGTGTTTATTGTATTGAGGTATATTCCTTCTATAACCAGGTTTTGGAGGGTTTTCATCATGAAAGTATACTGAATTTTATCAAATGCATTTTCAGCATAAGTTGAAGTGATTGCATTTTTGTCTTTTATTCTGTTGATATAATGTGTCACATTGATTGATTTGCATATTTTGAACCATCTTTTCATTTCTGGGATAAATACAATTTGGTCGTGATGAATGATCTTAATGTGTTGTTGAATTTTTTTCATTGGTATTTTGTTGAGGATTTTTGCCTCAATGTTCCTCAAGAATACTGGCCTGTATTTTCTTTTTTTGAGGCGTCTTTGTCTGGTTTTAGTATCTGAGTTATACTGGACTTGTAGAAGGAGATTAAAAGTATCTCCTCCCCTCTATTTTATGGAATATTTTGACTAGGATTAGTATTCATCGTTCTTTAAATTTTTGGTAAAATTCGGCAGTGAATCCAGGCTTTTCTTTGCTGGAAGACTTTTTATTATAGCTTTGATTTTATTATATATTATGGGTCTGCATAGGTTTTGGATTTTTTGTGATTCAAACTTGATAGATTGTATGTGTCTAGAAATTTATATTTTTATTGTAAGTTTTCCAATTAATTGGCATTCAGTTGCTCATAGTAATAGCTTCTAATGACTCTTTGAAATTCTGAAGTATCGGTTGTAATTTTTTTTGTTCATCTCTGACTTTATTTGGATCTTCTCTCTATTTTTTCTTAATCTGGCTAAAGGTTTATCAATTTAGTTTATCTTCTCAAGAAAGCAGCTTTTAATTCCGTTGATCTTGGAATTGTTTTTTCAATTTATCCCTGCTCTAATCTTTCTTATTTATTTTTTCTACTAATTTTGGGTTTAGTTTTATTTTACTTATCTAATTCTTTAAGAAGAATTTTTAGGTTGTTTATTTGAAGTTTGTCTACTTTTTTGATGTAAGCACTTATTGCTATAAACTTTCTTCTTAGTATTGTTTTCACTGTATCCCCATAGGTTTTGGTGTGCTGTGTTTCCATTTTCATTTGTATTAAGAAATTTAAAATTTTTTCTTCTTAATTTCCTCATTGATCCAGTGGTCATTCAGAAGCATATTGTTTAATTTCCATGTGCTTTATAGTTCCCCAAATTTCTCTTGTTGTTGTTTTCTAGTTTTGTTCAATATGATCAGAGAAGATACTTGATAAAGTTCCAATTTCTTTGAATTTTTTAAGACTTGTTTTGTGGCCTAACATATAGTTTATCTTTGAGAATGATACACGTGTTGAGCAGAATAATGTATATTCTGCAGCTGTTGAATAAAATGTTCTGTAAATATCAATCAAGTCCATTTAGTCTATGGTGCAGATAAGTTTGAAGTTTCTTTGTTTATTTTCTCTCTGGATGACTTATCCAATGCTGAAAGTTGTGTGTATCTAGCTAAAGTATCTAGCTATTATGGCATTGGGGTCTATCTTCCTTTTAAACTCTAATAATATGTGCTTTATATATCTGGGTGCTCTAGTGTTGGGTACATATATATTTATAATTGTTATATCTTCTTGCTGAATTGTCCCCTTTATCATTATACAATGACCATCATCTGATTTTATAATTTTTGTTATGAAATCTATTTGGTCTTATATAAAACTACAGTAACTTCTGCTCTTTTTGGTTTTCATTTTGCATGGGATATCTTTTTCTATCTCTTTATTTTCAGTATCTGTGTGTCTTTATAGATGAAATATTTTTTTTCTAAGCAATAGTTCTTCAGGTCTTTTTTTAAAAATCCATTTAGCCACTCTGTGTCTTTTGATTGGAGAGTTTATCCATTTACATTCAAGGTTATTATTGATAAGTAAGGACTTACTCCTGCCATTTGTTTTTTGTTTTCTTATTTTTGTGTGTGTGATCCTTTCTTCCTTCTTTTCTTCCTTCCTGTCTTTCTTTTAGTGAAGATTTTTTCGGGTGGTATGTTTTAATTTCCTGTTATTTATTTTTTGCTTATCTGTTGTATAATTTTGATTTAAGGTTACCAGAAGGCTTGCAAATAATATCTTACAACCTGTTATTATAAACTGATAACAACGATTGCATAAACAAACCTCACAAGCAAAAAGAAATCTAATAAAAATGCTACACTTTAACTTTATCCTTTTCCACTTTTTAACTTTTTGTTGTTTTTATTTACTTGTTTATCCTATGTCTTGAAAAGTTTTTGTAGTTATTATTTTCATTAGGTTCATCTTTTATTTTTTCTGCTCCAGATATAAGTAGTTTACAACCTATAATTAGAGTACTATAATATTCTGTGTTTTTCTCTGAATTTACCATTACCAGCGAGTTTTGTACCTTCAGGTGATTTCTTATTGCTCCTTAATGTACTTTTCTTCCAGATTGAAGAACTCCCTTTAGCATTTTTAGTAGAACAGGTCTGATGTTGATGAGATTCCTCAGCTTTTGTTTGTCTGAGTAGGTTTTTATTTCTCTTTCATGTTTGAAGGATAGCTTTTGCTGGGTATACCATTGTAGGATAAAAGTTTTTATTCTTTAGCACTTTAAGTATGTTATACCACTCTCTCCTGGCCCATAAAATTTCCACTGAGAAGTCTTCTTCCAGACATATTGGAGCTCCTTTATGTGTTACTTATTTCTTTTCTCTTACTGCTTTTAGAATCATTTCTTTATCTTTGACATTTGGGAGTTTAATTATTATATGTTTTGAAGTACTCTTATTTGGGTTAAATCTTTTTGGTGCTCTATAATTTACTTGTACTTGCATATTGATATCTTTCTTAGGTTTTGCAAGTTCTCTGTTATTATCCCTTTGAATAAACTCTCTACCCCTATGTCTCTCTCTACCTCCTTTTGAAGGCTAATAATTCAGATTTGCCCTTTTTAGGGTATTTTCTAGATCTTGTTTTGGGGCTTGTTTTGTTTTTCAGACAGGGTTTCACTTTGTCACCCAGGCTGGAGTACAGTGGCATGATCATGGCTCATGACAGCCTTGCACTACCACCACCCACCACCCCACTGGGCTCAAGCAGTGCTCCCACCTTAGCTTCTTGAGTAGCTGGGACTGCAGGCATGGACCATCATGGCAAGCTAATTTTTTGTACTTATTTGTGGATACGTGGTTTCAACATGTTGCACAGGCTGTTCTTAAACTCCTAGGCTGGGCTCAAGATATCCACTTGCCTTAGCCTCCCAAAGTGCTGAGGTAAGGCGTGAGCCACCACACACTACCCTATTTTCTAGGTCTTGTAGGCATGCTTCATTCTTTTTTATTGTTTTCTTTTTGTCTCCTCTGACTGTGTATTGTCAAGTAGGCTGTCTTCAAGCTCACTAATCCTTTCTTCTGTTCGATCAGTTTTACTGTTAAGAGACTCTAATGCATTCTTTAGTATGTTATTTGCATTTTTTCAGCTCCAGAATTTCTGCTTGTTTCTTTTTAATTATTTTAAACTTTTTGTGAAATGTATCTGAGGATTCTGAATTCCTTCTCTGTGTTATCTTTAATTTCATTGAACTTTCTGTAAGCAGCTATTTTGAATTCTCTGTCTGAAAGGTCACAGATCTCTGTCACTCTGGGGTTGATCACTGGTGACTTATTTGGTTTGATTGGTCCAGAAATGCCATTCAGGAACCAAGGCCTGGGATTGATGACCCTAGGAAACTGTTTGGTTCTCTATGCCACTGTGGTTCTCTACACCAAGCTGGTACCAAAGCTTCAAGACAAAAGTCTCATTTCCTCTTCCTTCTCCTTTCCTTAACTAAAAGATATGTCTCCCCATGGCCACTGCATCAGGGAATGTGCTGGGTCACCCTTGATTCCAGCATGGCTCTGAGTCTTACCCAAGGCCTGCTGAGAGTACTGCCTGGCTTCCATTGTTGATTGTTCAGGGCCCAAATACTCTTTAGTTAGCAGGTGATGAATCCTGTCAGGACTTTGTTCTTCCTTTCAAGGCAGTGGGTTCCTTCTGGCCCAGGTTGTGTTTATAAATGTGTGAAATCTAAGTCCTGAAATGGTAGCCTTAGCACTAAGCCTGGTGTCCTATTCCAATGTGGCTGAGCTGGTATCTATGTTGCAAGACAAAGTCCCCTTAACTCTCCCTTCTCCTCTCCTCAAGTAGAGTGAAGGAGTCTCTTTTGGAGCTACAAGCTGTGCTTCCTGGGGTTGGCAGAGGGGTGACACAAACACTCCCTTGGCCATGCCAGCTGGTGTCTCACTAGTCATATATAGACACTAGGCACTGCAAGTCCACTAGCCCTGAGTCAAGTGGAGCGCCAGGACTTGCCAAGGAATTGCAGTCCTTGTGGCCTAGACTGTTTCAAGATTATTTAGAACCCAAAGCCATTTAGCCCACCATGCTGGGACTTGCCAGAACTCAGGCTCTGACTGCTGGAATGAGAGATTCACCTCTAATTAGGGCTGGTCTAGATGCTTCCTTTATGGGCACCAACTGATTTCTGCCTCATGTTGCTTTCCAGTGTCACAGGGCAGTCCTGAATTCCAATGAAAAATCTCACAATTACTGCTCTGTCCCTCAACCAAGGGCACAGATTCTCACACTATGCAGCTACTGCGGGTGGATGGGGCAGGGTCGTCTTGGCAATTTGAGACTATTTTCTATACTTTTCAGTGCCTCCTTCCTTAATATGATGTTAAAAACCAGGTACTGTGATTGCTCAACTGATTTTTGGTTCTTATAAAGTTGCTTTCATTGTGTGCATCATTGTTCAATTTGGTGTTCCTGCAGGGGGAATGGTCACTGGAGGCTTCTATTCAGTTATCTTCCTTGGAATATGTGTTTATCTTTTTGTGTAGCTGACATAAGTGTCTGTTGAATTTCCCTCCAAAGTTAAGATTATAGATAAATGTCTTTTGATATTGCATCTCGTTCAGGTTCCTCATTTGTGACACCTTGACATTGGATTAGACTTCCACTAAGTTAATTGTGTAACTTATTATGTAACTACTGATGCTCTGTTGTCATTTATTTAAAAATATATTTAGGCATGTAAATATATATGTTACTCTTTTAAATTTGCCAATATTTTATAAATTTGTTATGATTAGTTTTTAATAAAATGATAAGGTAAGTGGATTTTTAAACTGTCAGTTTTCCACAGGTGAAAATGAAAAGCAACAAAACAAGAGATATTTCTTGAATGCTCAATTTCCATTTTTGTGTTGGATGATTAGCATGAGCATAATTTCATACTGTGGTGTCACTCACCTGTATTTAAATAGATTTATGTATGTCTCTGTTTATGTATGTATACATCTATCCATTGATCTATCGTCTATCTATCTATCTATCTATCTATCTACCTTAATTGAAGTTGTGTGCTGATTAATATTGAGTGTGAACTTGATTGGACTGAAGGATGCAAAGTATTGTTCCTGGGTGTGTCTGTGAGGGAGTTGCCAAAAAAGATTAACATTTGAGTCAGTGGCCTGGGAGAGTCTGCCAGCAAGGCTAGAATAAAGCAGGCAGGAGAAGAAGGAAGAGCGACTTATTGAGTCTTCTGGCCTTCATCTTTTTCTCATGCTGGATGCTTCCTGCCCTCAAATATTGGACTCCAAGTGCTTCAGCTTTTGGACTCTTGGACTTACACCAGCAGTTTGCCAGGAACTCTCTGGCCTTCAGCTACAGACTGAAGGTTGCACTTTTGGCTTTTCTACTTTTGAGGTCTGGGGACTCTGACTGACTTTTTTGCTCCTCAGCTTACAGAAGGCCTATTGTGGGACTTCACCTTGTGATAAAGTGAGTCAATACTCCTTAATAAATTCCCCTTTATATGTACATTTATTCTATTAGTTCTGTCCTTCTAGAGAACCCTGACTAATATAGGCTGCTGTAACAAAATATAAACTGCTTAAACTTGTTTTCATACTGTAAAACTATTAGAGAAAACACATAAGGCAAAAGTGCCAAACATTGACCTGGGTACTTTTTTTTTTTTTAGTAGATATGACCCAAAAAGCACAGACAACAAGAGCAAAAATGACAAATGGAAACCCATCAAACTGAAATGTTTCTGCACAGCAAAGGAGAGACAACCTATGGAATGGGAGAATATATTTGCAAAACATACATATGATAAGTAGTTAATATCTAAAATGTGTAAGAAAATTAAACACCTGAACAGCAAGAAAACAAATAATCCTAATAAAAAATAGGCAATGAAGTGAATACAGTTCTTAGAAGAAATACAAATAGCTAATAGGTATATGAAAAAATTCTCAACATCATTAATCATCAGAGAAATGCAAATTAATACCACAATGAGATATCACCTCACACCTGTTAGAATGACAATTTCAAAAAGACAAAAGATGACAAGTGTTGGCAAGGATGTGGAGAAAAGGGATCTCTAGCACACTAGTAGTGGGAATATAAATTATGTGAGCCATAAAGGAAAATAATATGAATGTTATTTTAAAAAGTAAAAATAGAACAACATAATTTAATAATCTCACTATTGGGTACACATCACAAAGAAAGAAAGTTAGTACATCAAAGAGATAACTGCACTCCCATGTTCATTGCATCATTAGTCACAGTTGCCAAGCTCAGTTGGAATTGACTTATGTGTCATTAATATTCATTCTTTCACAGCATGAATGAATACAGAAAATGTGGTAAATACACACAATACAGTACCATTCAGTCTTTAAAATAAAGGAAATTCTGTCATCTGCAATAAGATAGATGAATCTGAAGGACATTATGCTAAGTGAAATAAGCAAGGCACAATACTACATAATCTCATTTATATGTGGAATCTAAAAAAAGACAAATTCATAGAAACAGGGTAGAATGGTAGTTACCAAGGGGTTGAGAAAGAAGAGTGGGAGATGGTTGAAGTATACAAAATTTCACTTAGAAACAATAAGCTCAAGAGATTGATTCTATAAACATAGTAATTATAGTTAATAACAATGTATTTTATACTTGAAAATTGCCAAGAAAGTAGATTTTGTCTAACCACAAATAAATTAAAATTATGTGTAGACAATATGACACAGACTAGATGTCTTAAACAAAAGAAATTTATGTTCTCACAGATCTGAAGGCTTAGAAGTACAAGATTAAGGTGCCAGACAATTCTGTTTTCTGGTGAAAGCCCACTACTAGGTTTGAAGACCACTCTCTTCTCACTATGTCTACACATGGCAGCTCGAAGGGAAAGAGATAGCTGTTGTCTCTCTTACTTTTAAGAGCACTAACTAATTCCATCATTGGACCACACCTGTGTAACCTAATTTAAACCTAAATGACTCCTACAGGCCTCATCTCTAAATACATTTCATTTAGTGTTAGGCCTTCAACATAAGAATCTATCTATCTATCTATCTATCTATCTATCTATCTATCTATCTATATCTGTCTATCGATCTATCCTATCTATCAACAATCTAATATTCCTTGACCTTGTACTTCTGTCAATCATGTTCTTTTTCTAAATTTATTTACAGCAAATATTCTCAACAAAAACCATATGCATCCTTGCTTTTATTTTCTACCTTAATTAACTTATGAATAAAATCAGAATTCTGTCTGTATACCATTTGCATGTGCATTTTATATTTAATGTTCAGGGTTTTAGTTATACTCAGTGGAGAAATAGAAAATGTTTGTCTATTACATAATCCCCAAAAGGAAAGTCCAATCCTTTTCTGAAAAAAAATAGTCTTTACTTTTCAGAGCAATTTTAGTTTGCAGCAGAGCTGAGTTGAAAAACAGAGTTCTTATACGCTTATGCCTTGTTGCAAATATGCAATCTCCCCACTATAGAGATCTCACAGAAAAGTGGTACATTTGTTACAATTGATAAACCTAGTTTAATAAATTATTATTATCCAAATTTTATGGTTTACATTAGGGCTCACTCTTGGTGCTATACAACGTATGGGTTTCAACAAATGTGTAACGACATGCACGTAACATTATACTAGCTACTGTCCACCATTATAGTAACTATGGAATCATTTCACTGCCCTGAAATTCCTCTGTGCTCCACCTATTTATCCTTTCCTTACCCTCAACCTCTGGAAACCACTGATCTTCTTGCTGTCTCCATAGTTTTGCCTTTTCTGGAATATCATATAGTCAAAATAATACAGTATGCAGTATTTTTTTATTGTCATCTTTCACTAAGCAACATGCATTTAAGTTTTCTTCATGGCCTTTCATGGTTTCTAGCTCATTTCTTTTTAGCACTGATCAATATGCAATTGTCTGGATGTGATAAAGTTTGTTTATTCATTCATCTATTGGAAGACATCTTACTTGCTTCCAAGTTTTTGAAGTTTTGAATAAAGTTGCTATAAACATCTGTGTGCAGATTTTTATATTAACATAAGCTCTCAACTGATTTGAGTAATTACCAAAAAGTGCTGGATTATATGGTAAGAGTATCTCCAGTTTTCTAAGAAACTGCCAAACTGTCTTTGAAAGTGGTTGTACCACTTTGCATTCCCAAAAACAATGAATAATAATTCCTTTTGTTCCACATCCTCATCGGCATTTGGCCATTTGGCATTGTCACAATTCTCTTGTTTTTGTTATGTATTTTTATCACATAGATATTTAATCCAATTATTAGTGTTTCATAAAGAATGTAAACTTATTTTTCCAAAAACCACATCTAACATGGAATTAGTTATCTATTTCTGCATACCAAACCATCACACACCATAGAAGTTTTATTTTTTCTCTTATAACAAAATGCATTGAATATGTTCCTGATTCTCTGAGTGAAATATTTTCACTTGTCTAAGTTGGGTGGTTCTCCTGAAGGTCTTGCCTGAGATAATGTATGCAGTTTTGGTTACTGGTGTTTTGTAATTGGGCATGTGATGAGCATTCAGTTTGGAATGCTCATCTCTCCACATCTTTATCCTCCAGTAGTATACAGCCTTCATTTGGTCAGATGATAGACTCGTTGAAGAAAGTGATAATAAGCTCCTTTGCTCAGAAACTTTCCAAATCTCTGTTTGCATCATGTTTATCAATGTCCACTTGAATAAAGCAATTCACATTGTAATGACAGAGTCAATGTGGGAGGAGGCTATAATGAATCAAGTAGGCCTAATTTATAGGACAACTATGATAATATACTACACAACAAACTTATTTTCAGAGTCCAACTAGGCATACAACATTTTAAATTACATATCCAATAAAAATTTCAAAATTGCCATCATAAAAACTGACTTCCTGTCCTCATGTCCCTGAATGTATTTCTTTCCCAGTGTTTCTCATCTTGGTAAGTGGCACACTATGAACCCACCGCTCAAGCACAATTAAAGGAGTTCAGTCTATCTACCCTATTATTTTTCCACCTACACTGTAGCCTTATTGTTCGAAATCATCATTTACTATTGTCTATTAAATTGTTTCTTTTTTATCCTTTCTCTGAATATCCATAGGCTACTCCTTTTTATAGCATACTTTATTTTTAAGAACAGTTTTTTATTTATAGCAAACTTGAGGACCCCTGACAAGTTATAGGTGCTCTCTAAATATAGGTGAAATTAATTAGTGTGTAATGCACATATGCTCTGATGTTCAATTTTATGCGTCAACTTGACTAGGCAATAGTACCCAATTATTCAATCAAGCACTAATGTAGGTGTTCTGTAAAGGCATTTTTTTAGATATGATTAACATCTACACCATTTGACTGTAAAGGACAGGAGATTATACTGGATGATCTGAATAGATGGACCAGTTTCAATCGTTTAAATTCCTCAGGATCAGTAGAGTTTTCTAAAGAAGAGGAGAAATTCCACCAGCCTAAAAGTTTCTAACCTGCCTGTATTGGTGGTCTTCTCTATGTGGTTCAGATTTGCCTGGCCATCCCCCACAATCATCAATCAGGTAAGCCAATTTCTTGCAGTAAATATCTTCTCTCTCTCTCTCTCTCTCTCTCTCTCTTTCACAGTTTGAATCCAAAGACCTTCAGCTTGCAGAATTTGCTCTTCCTCCAGCGAGGCTCACCTTTTCATGTTAAGGCTTTCAACTAATTAGATGAGACCTACCCACACTATGGAAGGTAATCTGTTTTCTTCAAAGTCTACTGATTTAAATGTTAATCTCATCTAACAAATACTTTTGCAGATGCATCTAGAATAATGTTGGACTAAATATCTGGATCTTAATGGCCTAATCATATTGACAAATAAAATTAACTGTCAAAAGACTACTCCTTGTCAACTTGACACCCATATGCATCTCCTTTAATTATTCTAAATCTCAAAATAAAGACAATTACAAGGCCATATTTCTGCCTGAAATAGTACAATTATCCAATATATAACCAAAAACACATTAACCATTTCCCCTGAAAAGGATGCAGTCTTTGGGAGATGTTCACTCTTCTCCTTAATATTTTGTTTATAGCTTAAATACTATTAAATAGTATGGTGTAAAATTGCTAAATACCACAATTTAAATACTCTGTATATATGTGTATTAAACAAGGTTCTTCAGATATAAATACATATTGATACGTGAGCAGGGATTTATTAGGGGAATTGGCTCATACAATTACGGAGGCTGAAAATTCCCATGATAGTTTGCTAGCTGGAGAAACAGATAAAGCCATGCTTGAAGGCCTGAGAACCATGGCAGATAATAGTGAAACTCTCCCTCCAAGGCTTGAGAACCTGGGGCTCAGGATGCTGTTGCAAGTTCTGGAGTCTGAAGGCTAGAGAACCTGAAGCTCTGGTGTCCAAGGGCAGGAGAAGGAGGGTGTTCCAACTCCAGAAAAGAGAGAAAGATAATTCACCTATCTTCTGCCTTTGGCTCTATCTTGACCATCAGCTCATTAGATAGTGACCCCTCACATTGGATAAGAGTAGAGCTTTATTACTCAGTTCACTGATTCAAATGCTAATCTCTTTTGGAAACACTCTCACAGACAAACTCAAAAATAATGCTTTATTAGCTATCTGGGTATCCCTGAATCCAGTCAAATAGACATAAAATTAACCATCACAGTATGTTCAACACTGTGATATAAAGTTTACATCCTGAAACAAATTCAATGCATCTTTTGTTACATGATTAGGCAATAAAAGAGGAAAGAAAACAAAAGAATTTGCTACACACACAAAAATACACATATTCATAATAAAATAAGGAAGACATACTCATGAGGATTATAGTCCTTGTTTCTGCAATTGGTCATCTGGTATTTACAGCTACCTCCTTCTGCTAACCATTTCGTATTCCCTTTGCCCTTGGCAATCAACTAAACTAGTCATGGTCCTTTACTTGATGGGGTGATCCAGTCTTTCATTCCTGGAAGTTCTATGCTGTTCATAGTTTTACCTGAATTGGGCTTTTGTAATTTTCCATTAACTTCATTCATAGGGTATGGTAATGCTAAGAGATACACTAAGGGATCTCCAACATTCTAGACATTCTCTTTCTTGCCTCCCTAGTAGAGTAGTAGTCCAATTTCCACTGGGTAGTCAGAAAGCCCCAGGTAGCAAAAAACACCTTTTTTGCCTGTGATTCAGAGGCATAAAGTGTCAGAAGTTGCCAGGTAACAGGCTTAAGTTCCAGTTTAATGGCATTGTTGCTGTATCTCCTGTTGTAAACATTTATCCCTTTGGAACTAAGACTTCGGAGCCAGCAAAGCATAAGCTCATGGGTACAGCAAGCAAACATTTTGCTAGTAGTTTACTTGGGGTAACAGTGGTGTCACTCCCAATTTCATTACTTCACAGTACAGACTGTGTGTAGAATACATTTCTCTGCATTATTTTTTCTTATCCATTTAAACATATGAAAATATAATAAATTGGTGGATTCTTAGTTAAAACTACAGGGTTCACTCTGACTGGTTTAATAAAAAGCATTTATTTAATCCTACTAGATTTGATGTAGAATTATTGGGCACACCAAAGGCAAATACCTAACATACCACTGCCAGCATCAAGGTGACTTCCTCATGAGATATCAATATTGCACCCATTAGTAAATTGCTTCTATTTCCTTAACCACTGAAACAGAGACACTTCCATCACCACTGGAAACAGTAAAATGCACCTATATGCTGAATCCTTATCTTAGTATTTTCATTTCTAGACCAAATCTGGGGGTTGTGTTAAGTCTGGAACTGTATCTGCCTGTCTTAGTTCTGACCTCTAAGTTAGAATTGTGCATAAATTTCCCCAAGTGTAGCAGTATGTTTCAGTTTATTTCAGAAAGTCATAAATGTGACAGATTTCTACTTAGGCCCAGCCCATACCATGGGTGCCCAACATCAATATACACCACAGTTTTGTATTTACACATTCAATTCATCAATGTTAGATTCTAGCATCAAATAACAGCCTTTTAGAGGAAAAAAAAGCTATTCTCAGCTTATACTCAGAAGGAGAAAATTCAAAATATCTTCTGTTATTGAACCCATTTATAAGTCCATGTTTGCTTGATGTCTATTTTTTCATGAGGTTTGTCATAACCCTAATTTGACATTCTCTCACATTCACTTGTAATATTAACAACCAACAACACACTAAGATAAAATAGTAGGAAGAACTATATTGAAAAATTAGGGTAAATGTTAAAATATTTATGTAACCGATCATGAGACTCTAGTTGTTACTTTTCTCAGCTACACTGCATCATCCATTCCATGCTTTCTTGACCTTCTCTCAGATCTTATCTGATTTTTTTATTTCCTCTCTATTCCAATTAATTATCTAAATGGCCATGATCCTGGAAAAGTATTGTTCTAACAAGAATTTGGCCATTTAAATTAATTCAATTTTAAAATAGTATTAGAAAAATAATATAAGTATTTTCATATGGCTGTTATACATAATTTAAACCAATATTTTATATATAACAAGATTTCATTTTGTGGAATTTATTATTAAAAAGCCATATGAACAGGTTGATAGCCATAGAGTTTACTAAATCATAGGGCAAACATTCTAATGTAGAATATTCCCATGTTTTTATTAATTCATTTATTTTTTAGACAGGCAATTTTACTTTTATTATTGAAACAGAATTCAGATAGCATTTGAAAGTTTTTATTGCCTGAGGTAACTTAAAGGTAAAGGGATTATAATAGTGATAACACTGTGTTGAGAACAAATTATTAAATTCTACATGGCAGAGTGTAAAGAAATATTAGTAAGCTATCCAGAGTACAGGACTATTTCAGGCAACACAAATATCTTCTCCTAGAGTGATATGAATTTTGTGCAGTAGAAATTATCTTATCCCTTCATTCTTTCTATTAAGAATAGCTTCATTTAGTTTCCTACATTCTCAGTTGTATATGATGTAGTGTACCAAACAGCCCTACAACTAAGCAAGGTCTTGGTGATAATCACTGATCAGCATGCTGAAGTATGGAAAAATATGCAGGACAGAGGAACTGAACTAAGAAAGTTGTCAAGAAGCTGTCTACATTGTCTACATTGTGAATGTTTGATGGGCGAGAGTGACTTTCTTTTTTTTTTTTTTCTTTCCTGACAGTAGTCATGGACACTAGTGTAGGTCGTTGGATTTTCAATGGTCTTGCCTGAAGCTTCAGTCATGTCTCTAGACACTGAGAAGGAAGCACACTGAATAAGGAGATCCCAATGCCAAAGGCAATGAAAATGACCACACATGTCAGTAAGAAGCCAAGCCCTGGACACACCTCCTACACAAGCACCTGTGCATAGAGAACTTCCTCAGGCCCTCCAGAAATTAGGAGTTCATCCTCATGAGAGGGCCAGACTTTGTAAGCCTGTCATACAGAGAAAAATAATTCTTGACAAATGTTATACATATGTCTCATTTCATTTATGTTGATATAACAAAATATCTGGGACTGGGTAATTTATAAAGGAAAGAAATTTATTTCTCCTAGTTCTGGAGGTTTAGAAGGTCAAGGCACCAGATGTTTCAACTGCCTTCTACAGACAGGAACAAAGCTGTGTGTGAGAAAGACGGAAGAGCAGGAGAACAAAAGTTACATGAAGCCTTTTCTTTTGCAACTGTAATCCCATTTAAGAGGAAGGAGCCCTCCTGATCTGATCACCTCTTAGAGGCCACACCTCCTAAATCTATCACTTTGGCAATACCTGAATTTCGGAGCAGACACACTCAAACCATAGCAACGTAGAATCAGCAAATCAACAGATGACCGCGTATTCTTACGTTAAGAAAACAAACAAACCAAAACTTTTTTCTTTTCAGAGCAACAGGGGAACAGAAGCCAAAGACGGTGATGACAACGCATACTATGTTTCTTTTATTTCATCCATAGCTTTTCGGACCAGAATTCTGCTCTTCCCATAAAGGAAGAGTGAAAAAAGTTAAGGTTATGGGTTTACATTTTACATAGATAATATTAACCCTTATTACCATAAACTAAAATCTCTTACTAATCAAAATTATATAAACAATTATTGGAATCAGACTAAGACAGCAATAAAAAAGACTCATTTTTTAATCAGAAAAAGAGTGATTTAGTGGAGCATAATTCATATCTGTTACTGCACATATAAGACCAAATCATATTCATATCAAGTTGATTTTTTGGAACAAATTTATTTTTTGATTTATTGGCTTTATGGATATGTATGTACATAGATGTGTGTGTGAGTTAACCTTTTTTCTTTTCTTTTCTTTCTTTTTTTTTTTCTTTTTGAAACAAAGTCTCACTCTTTTGCCCAGGCTGGAGTGCAATGGCGTGATCTCAGCTCACTGCAACCTCCGCCTCCTGGGCTCAAGCGATTCTCCTGACTCAGCCTCCAGAGTAGCTGAGATTACAGGCTCCTGCAATCACACCCAGCTAATTTTTGTATTTTTAGCAGAGATGGGGTTTCATCATGTTGGCCAGGCTGGTCTTGAACTCCTGACTTCAAGTGATCTGCCCACCTCAGCCTTCCAAAGTTCTGGGATTACAGGCATGAGCCCCCGCACCTGGCCAGTTAACCTTTTTTCTATTGGTCTGCTCTATAAAAGTTTGCTACTGATATAAGGATATATAATAATAGAAATTCTAATTGATTTAATATATTAAATTTTAATACATACATAATTTTACTGTCTAGAAATCTGAATTTAGTATTTTATATTAATTATGAATTTACTATGTTAAAATGTCTGTGAAAATACAGTCACAAATATTGTTGATTATTCTACTACTATTTCATTGTTACTTGGATGAAAATAGTCATGGCATCATTCTGTAATGTAGGACGTGTTTAATCTTCATTAGCACCACATGCAAATTTGCCATGGAAACGCCTGATCAGACAAGAGTACAAGACTCTAAAAGTTTTAAATCCCCATAGATTTTAACAGTTTTCTCCTCTCCTGCAAGGTCATACTTATTCTGAAAATTAAGAAATATATTACCTAAGGAATTGATAGACATCATATAGTCTAGTCACTTTCATACTAAAAGGTTTAATTTCTTATGAAATTAGAAACTCTCACAAAGACTAAAACCAACAGAAGAGATATATTCAAGCTAAGTTAATAAAAATGCCCTACAGCTGTAATCTGTAAGATGGGGTCTGATGGGAATGAAATATGTCACTTTACACTGTATTGCAGTACTCATATCCTTTGAATTTTTAAAGTTAAAACAAAACCTAGCCTAAAACTTCACATTTGAATGTCAGTAGGAGACATTTTAAATCTTTTATAAACAATACATAATTTCTTATTTCTGTATAGAGTCAAAGCTTTTAAATACAATAACTTTCAGCTAATTTATTATTAAGCTGTTGTTTTCATCAGAGTTACCAAGAAACATAAACCACTGATATGGCTCTGATGAGTGTAGGACACCAGGGTTCTTAGTCCTCATGCAGGTTTAAATAAAATGACACAGGCACATGTGGAATGGTTTTAAGGAGCAGAGAGTTTAACAGGCAAGAAGGGGCAAGATGGAAGGGAGAAGGAAGAAGCTCCCCTGTACAGAGACAGAGGGAGGGGCGCTCCAAAGCCAAGAGAGGGAACCCCAAGTAGGGTGGAAACCAGCCAGGTGTATATATAGAGGCTGGAGGAACCAGTGTCTGATTTGCATAGGGCTCAGGGGATTGGTTTGACCAGGCATGTCATTCATATAGCCCTCGAAAAAGCTGGCCTTCTCACCCTAGCCTTTTAATAGGCAAATGTAGGGCACCATGATGTTCTACACACGTGGGGATATGTGAGGGCCATCATGTTACCAGGCCCATGTTGGGGAAGGGCAAGAAGGCTGCGGGGATCCCCATGTTGGGTGGACCCAGTTTCTAATGGTCTGCATTTGCATATCAAAGATTGCCTGCCTGACTCTTAAGAGCAGAGGCTTTACAAGAAACTTTTCCAGAGATGGTTTAAAAAACGAAAACTTCTCAAGGACCCCTTTTCCTCTCTATCTGCCTAAAATAATTTCTTAATAACTCCTACATCACCACTACATTTAACATTAAATTGCCATTACTACTTAAAACTAATGTATTTCTATCATGAACTTTTCCAGTAATGATGTTGTAGGGAGCCTTGAAAATGCAAACACATAATTTAGAAGGAATTTTTTAAAAAATGTTGTTCTATTATCCAATCTACAAGTATATTCTGATTGTTCATTAAATATAGACAGGACTCCGACTGATGTGGTCATGTCACTAGTTGGGGAAAAATTGTATTTGGGAAAAAACACCTATAGTTGTACATATCCAATGAGATAACTTTCAAATCACTGAAATAATTACTTCTAAAGAGTCTGTTTGATTTTAAGGAGTTTCCATCATTTTATTTAGATAGTTAATGTTGCATATAGAAGTTTACAAAATGTCTAAAAATTTATTTACATAGTCATTCAAATTTTAGATGTGTTATTGGCAATAATTACCCACAGTAAATTTCTTGGAAAGCTGCTTTACATAAATAACAAGGTCATCCTTGGTTTATTGTTCTACTTTCACTGCCGCCTAGTTATTTTGGTCTGCTGCAACAATATTTTATAAACTAAAATACTTATAAACAACAGAAATTTGTTTCTCACAGTTCTAGAGGCTAGGAAGTCCAAGATCAGTGTGCCAGCAGATTCAATGTCAAATGAGGAGCAGCTCTCTGATTCATAGAGGGTGCTTTCTAGTTGTGTCCTTACATGTTGAAAGGGACAACTGAGCTCCTTTGGTTCTCTTTTATACGGACACTAATTGCATTCCTGAGGGACTTGCCCTCATGATCTAATCCCTCCCCAAAATCCATCTCCTAATAACGTCACATTGGTGATTAAGTTTCAACAAATTTTGTGGGAAAATAAACATTCATATTCAGTCCATTGCACACTGTCTTAATATTACTTGTTTTGGGGGATATTTTTTTCTTTGAAATAGGATCTCACTCTGTCACCTGGGCTGGAGTGCAGTGGTACAATCACGGCTCACTGCAGCCTCAATCTCTTGGGCCATCTTCCCACCTCTGACTCCTAAACTGCTGAAATTACAGGCATGAGTCACCATCCAGCATAACTTGTTCTGTTATTTGTTTGTTTGTTGGTTGCTTTTTGGGTTTTTTTTTTTTTTTTTTTTACAGGAATATAAATGTTTATTTATCATTTATTTTAAACTTTTAAGTTCAAGGACACATGCAGGATTATTACATAGGTAAACATGTGTCATGGAGGTTTGTTGTACAGATTATCTCATCCAGGTATTAAGCCTAGTACCCATTAGTTATTTTTCCTGACCCTGTCCCTCCTCCAAACCTCTACCCTCTGATAGGCTACAGTGTGTGTTGTTCCCCTCTGTGTGTCCATGTGTTCTCATCATTTAACTTCCACTTACAAGTGAGAACATGTGGTATTCAGTTTTCTGTTCCTGTGTTAGTTTTCTAAGGATAATGGCCTCCAGCTCCATCCATGTCCCTGCAAAGGACATGATCTTGTTCTTTTTTATGGCTGCATAGTATTCCATGGTGTATACGTACCATATTTTCTTTATCCAGCCTATCATTGATGGGTATTTAGGTTGATTCCATGCCTTTGTCATTGGGAATAGTGCTGCAGTGAACGTATGTGTGCATGTGTCTTCATGAAAGAATGATTTATATTCCTGTAGGTATATACCCAGTAATGGGATTGCTGGGTTGAATGGTATTTCCCTCTTTAGGTCTTTGAGGAATCGTTACATTGTCTTCCAAAGTGATTGAACTAATTTACACTCCCACCAACAGTGTAAAAGCATTCCTTTTTCTCCACAACCTGGCCAGCATCTGCTGTTTTTTGACTTTTTTTAGCCAAAGGTCATGTGTTTTTTTTTATTTTTTGCTGGAATCTAAGAATTATATAGCCAGTGATGGGTGTGACTATTTTAGACACTGTGACTCAGGGAAAGCACAAAGTGGTATCTTCCTCAGCACGTACAGGAAGGACACTGTGGAGGAAATAACAAGTGAAATACCCAGTAAAAATTAGAGGAAGAATAGGAAGGTTAGTATTTATGAAGGAGAGAGAGCAAAGTGGTAGCATATTAGAAGCAGGGAGTAGGGACAGATCATGTAAGGCTTTGTAGTTCAATACAAAGCCTTGCTATTACACTCTAAGTAAGATAGAAGTCTTTGGAAGCTTTTGAGGAGAGTAATATGATGTGACATTTTTATAAGTATTTGTTTAGATGTATATCGAGATTATTTCACTAATCAATAAAAAGTTGATATTTAAAGTATAATGGGATAAAGATGAAAACAGGAAGAGAAGCAACTGCAGCAGTCTAAGGAAGATAAAATGGTAGAATAGATAACAAGTTGAAACTCAGTTTCTGCAATCATGCTATTAGTAAGTGTAGAACTGTCCAGGACACATCTGGTGGGAGAATGTTTGTGAATGTTTTTGTTGTATTTGAGGTAGAGTGGAGTGATAGATAACAGTAGGTATAACCCATGAAAGATCTCACAAACTGTCCTTAGGATGCTGGATAAGAGAGTTCCCTTTCTACACCACCACCAGTTGAGAATCCACATGCTATTTTTTGCCACCCTTGTCTAATATTACCCACCAAAAAGTATTGCTTTAAGCTTCAGTGTATAGGCACCCACATAAATATTTCTTATCGGTATCCACAGGGAAGTAAAAGAAAAATTGATTTAGGAAGCTTGACTTGGACTTATGTATACAGAATCCTTCAGGGCTAGACTGCAGGAACTTGTATATTTATGTAGAGCATTTCCAGTGTTGCTTTTCTTCATGGAATTACTTCAAAGACTTTTTGAACTTCAACAAATTACATAAGTGAGGGCCTACTTTTGGATGCTATAGTCTGTTCCACTGGCATGTCATGTAAGCAGTAGTAACCTCTTATTTATCACCTAATCACAATAGCTTAGTGTGCTGCTAAATTAAACTCACTAGAAAAAAAATCAGTTGATCCTATAAGAAGTTAGTCCCAATTTCTATTGAGATAAGTGATCAAAGAGACTAGGTTCCTGTTCATAAAGATGCACTTTGGAGAGATAATTTAGTGACTGGGGAAAACAAAAGAGTAGGACCTTTCATAAAAGGAGGGAAAACAAAGAACAATGAAAATAACTGAAAAACAACAACAACAACTGAACACCTGTCTCATGTTCTAGCTGTCATGCTTGTTCACAGGATGAACTTATACTTTACTAGTTAACATTGATCAATACAAGATTTTTTTCTAGTTACCTAGCAAGAGCCAAGCAGTAGCTCTGAAGGAGTGAATACTACCATATCTATGGCTTGTTACCAAGGAAGCAAACATTTGAATATTCTACTTTGAAAATCCTGTGTCGTACATGAGGACTCACTTGGCTGTTTATGTCTGTCCACTGAAGCCCTGGATGTACCATTCCCATTTTTAAAAAAGCATAAATTCTAAGAATTCTAATTTGGGGTTGCAAATATGATTGCATAACAAAGGATGCTAAAAATTTCTTTTTTTAACCAGAAAATTAGTTATCACAAGAGGTCACTTAGCAATAGAAAATCACATTAAGTATGTTTAAGTTATGATGTATTTAATCCAACCAACAAAACAGGGCAATGTTGCAACCCTAAGAACACTGAAACTGAAACATTTAGACTTAAGATTTGATGCTGGACTCTGTCAGGCCTCTGAACCCAAGCCAAGCCATCGCATCCCCTGTGACTTGCACGTATATGCCCAGATGGCCTGAAGTAACTGAAGAATCACAAAAGAAGTGAATACGCCCTTTCCCACCTTAACTGATGACATTCCACCACAAAAGAAGTGTAAATGGCTGGTCCTTGCCTTAAATGATGACATTACCTTGTGAAAGTCCTTTTCCTGGCTCATCCTGGCTCAAAAACACCCCCACTGAGCACCTTGCGACCCCTACTCCTGCCCGCCAGAGAACAAACCCCCTTTGACTGTAATTTTCCTTTACCTATCCAAATCCTATAAAACGGCCCCACCCTTATCTCCCTTCACTGATTCTCTTTTGGGACTCAGCCCGCCTGCACCCAGGTGAAATAAACAGCCATGTTGCTCACACAAAGCCTGTTTGGTGGTCTCTTCACACGGACGTGCATGAAATTTTGCGCTGTGACTCGAATCGGGGGACCTCCCTTGGGAGATCAATCCCTGTACTCCTGTTCTTTGCTCCGTGAGAAAGATCCACCTATGACCTCAGGTCCTCAGACCGACCAGCCCAAGGAACATGTCACCAATTTTAAATCAGGTAAGCAGCCTCTTCTTACTCTCTTCTCCAACCTCTCTCACTGTCCCTCAACAACTTTCTCCTTTCCACTCTTCAATCTCTCCCTTCTCTTAATTTCAATTCCTTTCATTTTCTGGGAGAGACAAAGGAGACATGTTTTATCCGTGGACCCAAAACTCCGGCGCCTGTCACGGACTGGGAAGGCAGCCTTCCCTTGGTGTTTAATCATTGCAGGGACGCCTCTCTGCAATGGGTGCAATTATACACCCACGTTTCAAGGGTGTCAGACCACACAGGGACGCCTGCCTTGGTCCTTCACCCTTAGCGGCAAGTCCCGCTTTTCTGGGGAAGGGGCAAGTACCCCAACCCCTTCTCTCCTTGTCTCTACCCCTTCTCTGCTTTTCTGGGAGAGGGGCAAGTACCCCTCAACCCCTTCTCCTTCACCCTTAGCGGCAAGTTCCACTTTTCTACGGGGCAAGAACCCCCAATCCCTTATTTCCACGCCCCAACCTCTTATCTCTGCCCCCCAATCGCTTATTTCCGCACCCCAACCTCTTATCTCTGTGCCCCAATCCCTTATTTCTACACCCCAACCTCTTATCTCTGCACCCCAATCCCTTATTTCCATGCCCCAACCTCGTATCTCTGCACCCCAATCTCTTATTTCCGTGCCCCAACCTCATATCTCTGCACCCCAATCCCTTATTTCCGCACCCCAACCTCTTATATCTCTGAGCCCCAATCCCTTATTTCCACACCCTGACCTCTTATTTCTGCGCCCCATCCCTTATTTCCACGCCCGACCTCTTATCTCTGTGCCCCAACCCCTTTTCCCACTTTTCTGGAAGGTAAGAACCCCCGAACCCCTTCCCTCCATTTCTCTACTCTCTCTTTTCTCTAGGCTTGCTTCCTTCACTATGGGCAATCTTCCACCCTCCATTCCTCCTTCTACTCCCTTGGCCTGTGTTCTCAAAAACTTAAAACCTCTTCAACTCACACCTCACCTAAAACCTAAATGCCTTATTTTCTTCTGCAATGCCGCTTGACCCCAATACAAACTCGACAGTAGTTCCAAATAGCCAGAAAATTGCACTTTGAATTTTTCCATCCTACAAAATCTAAATAATTCTTGTCGTAAAATAGGCAAACGGTCTGAGGTGCCTGACGTCCAGGCATTCTTTTACACATCAGTCCCTTCCTAGTCTCTGCGCACAGTGCAACTCGTCCCAAATCTTCCTTCTTTCCCTCCCGCCTGTCCCCTCAGTACCAACCCCAAGCGTCGCTGAGTCTTTCTAACCTTCCTTTTCTACAGACCCATCTGACCTCTCCCTTCCTCCCCAGGCTGCTCCTCGCCAGGCCAAGCTAGGTCCCAATTCTTCCTCAGCCTCTGCTCCTCCACCCTATAATCTTTTTATCACCTCCCCTCCTCACACCTGGTCCAGCTTACAGTTTCCTTCCGTGACTAGCCCTCCCCCTCCTGACCAGCAATTTACTCTTAAAAAGGTGGCTGGAGCTAAAGGCATAGTCAAGGTTAATGCTCCTTTTCTTTATCCCAAGTCAGAAGCGTTTAGGCTCTTTTTCATCAAATGTAAAAATCCAGCCCAGTTCATGGCTCGTTTGGCAGCAACCCTGAGACGCTTTACAGCCCTAGACCCTAAAAGGTCAAAAGGCCATCTTATTCTCAAAATACATTTTATTACCCAATGTGCTCCCGACATTAAATAAAACTCAAAAAATTAAATTCCGGCCCTCAAACCCCACAACAGGATTTAATTAACCTCGCCTTCAAGGTGTACAATAATAGAAAAAAGTTGCAATTCCTTGCCTCCACTGTGAGACAAACCCCAGCCACATCTCCAGCACACAAGAACTTCCAAACGCCTGAACCGCAGCGTCCAGGCGTTCCTCCAGAACCTCCTCCCACAGGAGCTTGCTACATGTGCCGGAAATCTGGCCACTGGGCCAAGGAATGCCCACAGCCCAGGATTCCTCCTAAGCCGCGTCCCATCTGTGTGGGACCCCACTGAAAATCGGACTGTTCAACTCACCTGGCAGCCACTCCCAGAGCCCCTGGAACTCTGGCCCAAGGCTCTCTGACTGACTCCTTCCCAGATCTTCTCGGCTTAGCGGCTGAAGACTGACACTACCAGATCGCCTCAGAAGCCCCCTAGACCATCACGGACGCCGAGCTTCGGGTAACTCTCACAGTGGAAGGTAAGCCAGTCCCCTTCTTAATCAATGTGGAGGCTACCCACTCCACATTACCTTCTTTTCAAGGGCCTGTTTCCCTTGCCTCCATAACTGTTGTGGGTATTGACGGCCAGGCTTCTAAACCTCTTAAAACTCCCCAACTCTGGTGCCAACTTAGACAATACTCTTTTAAGCACTCCTTTTTAGTTATCCCCACCTGCCCAGTTCCCTTATTAGGCTGAGACACTTTAAATTATCTGCTTCCCTGACTTTTCCTGGACTACAGCTATATCTTATTGCCGCCCTTCTTCCCAATTCAAAGACTCCTTTGCGTCCTCCTCTTGTATCCCACCTTAACCCACAAGTATAAGATACCTCTACTCCCTCCTTGGTGACTAATCATGCACTCCTTACCATCTCATTAAAACCTAATCACCCTTACCCCACTCAACGCCAATATCCCATCCCGCAGCATGCTTTAAAAAGATTAAAGCCTGTTATCACTCGCCTGCTACAGCATGGCCTTTGAAAGCCTATAAACTCTCCTTACAATTCCCCCATTTTACCTGTCCTAAAACCAGACAAGCCTTACAAGTTAGTTCAGGATCTGCGCCTTATCAACCAAATTGTTTTGCCTATCCACCCCGTGGTGCCAAACCCATATACCCCATATACTCTCCTATCCTCAATACCTGCCTCTACAACCCATTATTCTGTTCTGGATTTCAAACATGCTTTCTTTACTATTCCTTTGCACCCTTAATCCCAGCCTCTCTTCGCTTTCACTTGGACTGACCCTGACACCCATCAAGCTCAGCAAATTACCTAGGCTGTACTGCCGCAAAGCTTCACAGACAGCCCCCATTACTTCAATCAAGCCCAAATTTCTTCATCTGTTACCTATCTTGGCATAATTCTCATAAAAACACACGTGCTCTCCCTGCCAATCGTGTCCGACTGATCTCTTAAACCCAAGCACCTTCTACAAAACAGCTCCTTTCCTTCCTAGGCATGGTTAGCGCGGTCAGAATTGTTACACAAGAGCCAGGACCGCACCCTGTAGCCTTTCTGTCCAAACAACTTGACCTTACTGTTTTAGCCTAGCCCTCATGTCTGCGTGCAGCGGCTGCCACTGCTTTAATACTTTTAGAGGCCCTCAAAATCACGAACTATGCTCAACTCACTCTCTACAGTTCTCATAACTTCCAAAATCTATTTTCTTCCTCATACCTGATGCATATACTTTCTGCTCCCCGGCTCCTTCAGCTGTACTCACTCTTTGTTGAGTCTCCTACAATTACCGTTGTTCCTGGCCCAGACTTCAATCCGGCCTCCCACATTATTCCTGATACCACACCTGACCCCCATGACTGTATCTCTCCGATCCACCTGACATTCACCCCATTTCCCCAGATTTCCTTCTTTCCTGTTCCTCACCCTGATCACACTTGATTTATTGATGGCGGTTCCACCAGGCCTAATCGCCACACACCAGCAAAGGCAGGTTATACTATAGTACAAGCCACTAGCCCGCCTCTTAGAACCTCTCATTTCCTTTGCATCGTGGAAATCTATCCTCAAGGAAATAACTTCTCAGTGTTCCATCTGCTATTCTACTACTCCTCAGGGATTATTCAGGCCCCCCTCCCTTCCCTACACATCAAGCTTGAGGATTTGCCCCACCCAGGACTGGCAAATTAGCTTTACTCAACATGCCCTGAGTCAGATAACTAAAATACCTCTTAGTCTAGGTAGATACTTTCACTAGATAGGTAGAGGCCTTTCCTACAGGGTCTGAGAAGGCCACCACAGTCATTTCTTCCGTTCTGTCAGATATAATTCCTCAGTTTAGCCTTTCCACCTCAATACAGTCTGATAACAGATGAGCCTTTATTAGTCAAATCAGCCAAGCAGTTTTTCAGGCTGTTAGTATTCAGTGAAACCTTTATATCCCTTATGGTCCTCCGTCTTCAAGAAAAGTAGAATGGACTAAAGGTCTTTTAAAAACACACCTCACCAAGCTCAGCCACCAAAAAAGGACTGGACAATACTTTTACCACTTTCCCTTCTCAGAATTCAGGGCCTGTCCTCGGAATGCTACAGGCTACAGCCCATTTAAGCTCCTGTATAGACGCTCCTTTTTATTAGGCCCCAGTCTCATTCCAGACACCAGACCAACTTAGACTGTGCCCCAAAAAACTTGTCATCCCTACTATCTTCTGTCTAGTCACACTCTTATTCACTGTTCTCAACTACTCATACATGCCCTGCTCTTGTTTACACTGCCGGTTTACACTGTTTTTCCAAGCCATCACAGCTGATATCTCCTGGTGCTATCCCCAAACTGCCACTCTTAACTCTTGAAGTAAATAAATAATCTTTGCTGGCAGGACTATGCTGAATCTCCTAGGCACTCTCTAATCAGATATCCTGAGTCGTCCCAATTCTTAGACCTTTTATACCTGTTTTTCTCCTTCTGCTATTCCATTTAGTTTTTCAATTCATACAAAACCGTATCCAGGCCATCACCAATCATTCTATACAACAAATGTTTCTTCTAACAACCCAACAAGATCTCCCTTCAGCTTAATCTCTCCCACTCTAGGTTCCCACGCCGCCCCTAATCCCACTTGAAGCAGCCCTGAGAAACATCACCCATTCTCTCTCCATATCACCCCCCAAAAATTTTCGCCACCCCAACACTTAAACACTATTTTGTTTTATTTTTCTTATTAATATAAGAAGGCAGGAATGTCAGGCCTCTGAGCCCAAGCCAAGCCATCGCATCCCCTGTGACTTGCACGTATACGCCCAGATGGCCTGAAGTAACTGAAGAATCACAAAAGAAGTGAATATGCCCTGCCCCACCTTAACTGATGACATTCCACAACAAAAGAAGTGTAAATGGCTGGTCCTTGCCTTAAGTGATGACATTACTTTGTGAAAGTCCTTTTCCTGGCTCATCCTGGCTCAAAAAGCAACCCCACTGAGCACCTTGGGATCCCCACTCCTGCCTGCCAGAGAACAAACCACCTTTGACTGTAATTTTCCTTTACCTACCCAAATCCTATAAAATGGCCCCACCCTTATCTCCCTTCACTGACTCTCTTTTCGGACTCAGCCCGCCTGCACCCAGGTGAAATAAACAGCCATGTTGCTCACAGAAAGCCTGTTTGGTGGTCTCTTCACACGGACGCGCATGAAAGTCTGACTAAATATTGGGTAAGAGGGACAATACACTTCTAGATTATCCTGTGTAGTTGACCTCTTTCTAACCGTACCATCTGAAATTTTACCAATGGTTTATTGCCACCTTTCTTCTGAACTTCAGCTGACCCATACAGTTGTGTAGGCAACATTATGATTAACTGACCAAGGAGATTCACAACTCCAAAAGTTCACAGTTTTGTGCAGGCATTTATGCTCTCCTGAGGTGAAAAAGGCTTTGGAAGAGAGAGTGCTAAGAAGATATTTCAATGATGCTGAGAGAAGCTGTGAATAGATGTTTATATTGTAGACTGTGAAAAGCACAGAATTATTTATCATTATTTGTGTGTTGTGCTTACGCTTTGATATTATTCCCATTTGTTGATTAATTTAATGCTGAAAGTGTATAATATATCAGAAATTACTCTAGAATGTTAATGAAATTTACTTTACTTTTTAATGAGCTGATTAGAAACTCAGTATGTTCATCCTGAAAGTCTTTTTAAATATTAGTAAGACTGTAATGTGGTATGCATTTAAAAAAAACAAAAACACCTATAGTTGTATATATCCATTGAGATAACTTTCAAATCATTGAAATAATTACTTCTAAAGAGTCTGTTTTAAGGAGTTTCCATCATTTTATTTAGATAGCTAATGTCGCATATAGAAGTTTACAAAATGTCTAAAAATTTATTTATATAGATTGTCATTCAAATTTTAGATGTGTTATCGGCAATAATTATCCATAGTAAATTTCTTGGAAAGCTGTTTTACATAAATAACAGCTAGACTTTACTGCTTTATAAACCCAAACAAAGAAGCTGACTATAATGTATTCAATCTGGCTAATATAATTAGTATTTTCAATGGAGGAGTATTGTGTTGTTACATTTGTAGTGTGTAAAATATGTATTTATTTATTTTATTTTATTTATTTGTTTGTTTAATTTTGAGACAGGGTCTTGCTCTGTAGCCCAGGCTGGAGTGCAGTGGCACAATCTCGACTCACCACAACCTCTGCCTCCCGTGTTCAAGCGATTCTCCTGCCTCAGCCTCCTGAGTAGCTGGGAGTGGGCTCTTAATAAAAAGATGAAGTTTGGCCTCTTTCTCTCTCTGTTGCTTCCATTTGCTGCCATGACTTAAAGTTGGAACTTACATTAAAAGAGAAGCAGAGCATAAAAGTTTGGAAAATTCACAACCTGGCCATGTGATAGAGCAGGAAAAAAGCATTTCAGGATAGAAAGAATCCAAGCAGACTGTGGAGCAACCACTTGTTAGAGAGATTAACATGACTGTAAAAGGACCAAGTGCTAAAATCGAAGATAATTGGAAAAAGACTCAAAGGCATTTCAGAGATCTTTCTAAGAAACCCCCACCCCATCAAAGGCACAAAGGCATAGGAGGAAAGAATGCTTTCAAGTGCCAGGCCCAGAGTGCCACCCTTCTGCTTAGCCTCAGGACACCATTCTCTGCATCCTGGCCACTCCAGCCTCAGCCTCAGCTCAAAGGGGTGCAGGCACAACCTAGGCCACAGCTCAGGAGAGCAAAAGCCATAAGGCTTGGTGGTTTCCACAAGGTGTTCAGTTTTTAGATGCTCAGAATGTAAGAGTAGAGGAGGCTTGGTGGCTTCCACCTGTATTTCAGAGGATATATGGAAAAACCTAAGTGTCCACGCAAAAGCCTGTTTTAGGGATAGAGCCTCCACAGAGAAACTCTACTAGGGCAATGCTGAAGGGAAGTGTGAGATTGGAATACCACATAGAGTCCCTACCAGGGTACTTCTTAGTGGAGTGGCAGGAAAGGGGAATCACCTTCCAGAACCCAGAATGGTAGATTCACTCACAGCTTGCATCCTTTGCCTAGAAAAGCCACAAGCACTCAACTCTAAACCATGAGCGCAACCACTTGGTCTACAACTTACAAAGCCAAAAGGCAGACCTTGTGAGCCTACCCTTTATACCAGTATGCCCAGGATCAAGAAAGATTATGCTGGAGCTTTAAGTTTAATGTCTGCCCTTCTCCTTTTCTAACTAGCATGAGACCTGTTACTCCTTTCCTTTGGCTGATTTCTCCCATTTGGAATGGGAATGTTTATCAAAATGCCTGTGCCACCAATTTATCTTACAAGCAAATAACTTGTTTTTGATCGTAAGGGCTCATAGGTGGAAGAAAATCGACTTGAATCTCAGATAAGTCTTTTGACTTTGGGACTTTTGAGTTGGGTCAGGAATGAATTAAGCAACTGGGGGACTACTGAGAAGGGATGATTGCATTTTGCGATGTATATTAGTCAGGCTTCTCTAAAGGGACATACCTAATACGATAGATGAATACATGGAGGGGAGTTTATTAGGAGAATTGATTCACAGGATCAGAAGGTGAAGTCCCGCAATAGGTTGTCTGCAAGCTGAGGAGCCAGGAAGCTAATCCAAGTCCCCAGATTTCAAAAGTAGGGAAGCCAATAGTGCAGCTTTCATTCTGTGGCTGAAGGCCTGAGAGGCCCTTGCAAATCACTGGTGTAAGTCCAAGAGCCCAAAAGCTGAAGAACTTGGAGTCTGACCTTTGAGGGCAGGAAGCATCCAGCATGAGAGAACGATGGAGGCCAGAAGACTTAGCCAGTCTAGTCTTTCCACATTCCTCTGCCTGCTTTTATCTTGCCATGTTGGCAGCTGATTAGATGGTATCCATCCAGATTGAGGGTGGATTTGCCTCTCCTAGTCCATTGACTCAAATGTTAATGTCCTTTGACAACACCCTCATAGACACACTCAGGAACAATACTTTGCGTCCTTCAATCCAATCAAGGTGACACTCAATATTAACTATCACACAATATAAGAAGTATATGAGGTTAGTGGGGCCAGAGACAGAATGACATAGTGTTGATATTTGTCCCCTCTAAATCTCATTTTGAATGTAATCCCCAATGTTACAGGTAAGGTCTGATGAGAGGTGTTTGGGTCATGGGGGTGGATCCGTGGTGAATGGCTTGGTATCATCCTTACAGTAATGGGTGAAGTCTCACTCTATGAGTTCACATAAGATCTGGTTGTTTAAAAGAGTGTTGGACCTCCCCCATCTCTCTTGCTTCCTCTCATATCATGTGATATGTCTGTTTCTCCTTTGCCTTCTGCCTTGATTATACGCTATCTGAAGTCCTCACCAGAAGGAGATGCTGTCACCTCGTTTCCTGTACAGCCTCTAGAACTGTGAGCCAATTAAACTTCTTTTCTTTATCAATTAACCAGTGTCAGTTATTCTTTTATAGTGACACAAAAAACTGACTAATACTAGTATCTTCATTATGAAGTCACAAAGAAATTGGCTGAATTACTTCTATGCCCTAGGGTTTTATGCAATGCAGAATTTAAGAGCAATGAACTAGCATATCTGCCAGGAGAAACATCTGAGCAGCAAAGCATTCAGGCTACTGTGTGGCTACATTTAACTGCATATTGTAAAATGCCAGAGGAAAATAATTACTTGAAGGCAAAATTTACAATTAAAATAGATGTAAAATGGAAACATTTGAAAAACTTATAACTGGCAATGTAAAATCTTAAAAGGGCTAAACTCAATGTCTCATAACTCTAATCCCAACCCTTTGGGAGGCCAAGGTAGGAAGATTGTTTGAGCCCAAGAAGTTGAGGCTGCAGTGAGCAATGATTGCATTCCAGCATCAGTGACAGAGGGTGACCCTGTCTCAAAATTAGAAACAAATAAATAAATAAGACTTCAAGTGCATGTTTGCATGTTTGGGAAAAAAAAAATAAGAGTGTAGCTAACTGGCATTCTATTAAGGAGTTTAGTATAGTGAGAAGGAATCATCAAAACAATGCCAGAATGACCCCAAAGGGATTTTGAAGATCTTAGAGGCTGGTCCTTTCATTACAGGTCTAGACCTCTAGGAGGGCAGAATGATTTTGAGGAATGAGCCTGGGGAACCCTCCATTAGCTTGATGCCCAAGGACACCCCAAGATCCCCACATTCCAGCCCAGTGCCCCTCTGCTGGTCTCTGTGTCTGTTTATTATGCTAATACCGTGCTGCTTTGGCTATAATACCTCTGTAGTATAATTTGAAGTCAGGTAATGTGATTCCTCCAGTTTTATCCTTTTTGCTCTTGATAGCTTTGGTTATTCTGGGCCTTTTGTGGTTCCATATAAATTTTAGAATTATTTTTGCTTTTTCTTTGAGGAATGTCATTGGTATTTTGATAAGGATTGAATTAAATCTATGCATTGCTTTGAGTAGTGTGAACATTATAACAATATTGATTCTTCCAATCCATAAACATGGGGTATCTTTCTACTTTTTCTGTGTCCCCTTCAGTTTTTTACATCATGTTTTATAGTTTCTTTGCACATATTTTTCAATTCTTTGGTTAAGTTTATTCCTAGGTATTTTATTTTATTTGTAGCTATTGTAAAGGGGATTACTTTCTTAATTTCTTTTACAATTGGAATATAGAAATGATGCTGATTTTTTGTGTTAATTTTATATCATGTAATTTTACGGAATTTGTTTATCAGTTCTAATAGTATTTTGGTGGAGTCTTTAGGTTTTTTCAAATATAAGATGATAATTTAATTTCCTTTCCAACTTAGATGCCCTTTATTTCTTTCTCTTGTATCATTGTTCCAGCTAGGACTTCCAGTGGGATATTTAATAACAGTGGGGTAAGTGGGAATCATTGCCTTGTTCCCGATTTTACAAAAAAATGTTTTTTTTTGTTTTTGTTATTGTTTTTGTTTTTTAAAACGGAGTCTCACTCTGTCGCCAGGCTGGAGTGCAGTGACGCGATCTCTGCTTACTGCAGCCTCCGCCTCCCAGGTTCAAGCTATTGTCCTGCCTCAGCCTCCTAAGTAGCTAGGACCACAAGCACGTGCCAGCACGCCCAGCTAATTTTTGTATTTTTGTATTATTAGGGGAGACGGGGTCTCACCATATTGGCCAGGATGGTCTCGAGATCTTGACCTCGTGATCTGGCCACCTCGGCCTCCCACAGTGCTGGAATTACAGGCGTGAGCCACTGCGCCCACTCAAAGGTTTTTATTTTTTCTTCATTGATTATAATACTAGCTGTTGGACTGCCATATATGACTTCTACTGTGTTGCGGTATGTTCCTTCTATTCCCAGTCTTTTTATGTTTTTTATCATGATGGGGTGTTGACTTTTTCCATCTGCCTTTACAGCATCAATTGAAATGTTCATACGTTTTTGTCCTTCATTCTGTTGATATGCAGTATCAAATTAATGATCGGCATATTTGAATTATCTTTGTATCCCAGGGATAAATCAACTCGGTGATGATGAATGATCTTTTTAATGTGTTGTTGAATTTGTTTGCTAGCATTTTGTTGAGGATTTTTGCATCGGTATTCCTCGGAAATACCATCATGTAGTTTTAACTGATTTTGTTTTTTTGTTTTGTTTATGGATGTGAGGTGTCTTTGCCTGGTTTTGGTATCACAGTAATAATGGCTTCATATAATGAGTTTGCAAGTGCTCCATCCTCCTTTATTTTTTGGAATGATTTGAGTAGTGTTAATACTAGTTCATCTTATGTATTTGGTAACTTTCAGCAGTGAAGCCATTGGGTTCTGGACTTTTCTTTCCTGTGAGACTTTTTATTACAGCTTGGATCTCAGTGCTTGTTATTGTTCTATTCGGGTTTTTAATTTCTTCAGAGTTTAATTATAGCAGGTTCTTTTGTCTAGGAATTTATCCATTTCTTTTACATTTTCTAATTTATTGGCACATAGTTGCTCATGCTAGTCTAATGACTCTTTGACTTTATGTGGTATCAATTGGAATGTTTCATTTTTTGTCTCTGATTTTATTTGCTTGGGTCTTCTCTCTTTTTCTTAGTCTGACAAGTTTTTTTGACTTTATCTTTTTAAAAAACTAACTTCATTTTAATTTTTTCATTTCAATTTCATTTATTTCTTCTCTGATATTTATTGTTTCTTTTCTTTTACAATTTTTGTTTTTGGTTTACTCTTGCTTTTCTAGTTCTTCTAGATGCATCATCAGGCTTTTTTGTTTTTGTTTGTTTTTTTGAGACTGAGTCTCCCTCTGTCACCCAGACTGGAGTGCAGTGGCAGGATCTTGGCTCACTGCAAACTCCACCTCCTGTGTTCAAGCAATTCTTGTGCCTCAGCGTCCCAAGTAGCTGGGATTACAAACATGTGCCACCACACCTGGCTAATTTTTGTAATTTTAGTAGAGATGGGGGTTTCACCATGTTGCCCAGGCTGGTCTCGAACTCCTGGCCTTAAATGATCCGCCCACCTCAGCCTCTCAAAGTGCTGGGATTACAGGTGTAAGCCACTGCACCTGGCCAGGTTTTTTATTTGAAATTTTTCTACTTTTTTGATGTAGGTGCTTATTGCTATTAACTTTCCTCTTACTGGGACTTTTGCTGTATTCCATAGATTTTGATATGTTGTGTGTTCATTTTCATTTGTTTCAAATCATTTTTCAATTTCCTTCTTAATTTATTCTTTGACCCATTCATCACTAACATGTTTAATTTTCATGTGTTTGTCAAGCTTCTAAAGTTCTTGCTATTGATTTAGAGATTTACTCTATTGTGGCCAGAGAACTTACTTGATATGTTTTCAATTTTTTTTGTGTATATTTTAAGACTTGTTTTGTTACCTAAAATATGGTCTATCCCTGATAATAATCCATGTGCTAAGGAGAAGAATGCATATTTTCGGTGGTGGTATGTTTTAATTTCTTGCTTTTTATTGTTTGTCTGTATATCTGTTCTACTTGTTTTGATTTGAGGTTATCATGAGGCTTGCAAAGAACATCTTGTAACCCATTACATTTAACTGATGACAGCTTAACACTGATTGCAAAAACTGACAAAACTAAAAACTGACAAACTAAAAATAAGCAAAGAGGAAAATAAAAACTTCATCTCTTTACTTTTTAACTTTTTAAAATTTCAGTTTGTATCTTATACTATTTCTTGAAAAGTTGTTGTAGTTATTGCTGATAGGTTTATTTTCTACTCTTTCTACTCAATATATGAGTAATTTACACACTACAATTACACTGTTATAATATTTTCTGTTTGTGTACTTACTATTACCAGTAAGTTTTACACCTTGTGATGATTTCTTATTGGTCATTAATATCCTTTCCTTGGGACTGAAAAACTCCCTTTAGCATTTCTTGTATGACAGGCCTGGTGTTGATAACATCCCTCAGCTTTTGTTTGTCTGGGAAAATATTTCTTCATGTTTGAAGAACATTTTCACTGGATATACCATAGTAGAATAAAAATTTTATTCTTCAGCACTTGAAATATGTCATGACACTTTCTCCTGGCCTGCAACATTTCTACTGAGAAGTCTGCTGCCACACATATTGGAACTTCTTTTTATGTTCTTTCTTTTATCTTTATGCTTTAAGATCCTTTCTTTATCCTTAACCTTTGGGAGTTTATTAAATATCTTGAGGTAGTGTTGTTTGGGTTAAATATTCTTGGTATTCTGTAGCCTTTTCCTTGAATATTAATATCTTTCTCTAGATTTGGAAAGTTCTCTGTTATTATTTCTCTGAATAAACTTTCTACCCTGATCTATCTCTCTATCTCTTTTTTAAAGCCAATAACCCTTAGATTTGCCCTTTTGAGGCTATTTTCTGGATCTCTTTAGCCTGTTTCATTCTTTTTTATTCTTTTTTTTCCTGATCTGAATGTGTATTTTCAAGTGCCTGTCTTCAAGCTCACTAATTCTTTTTCTGCTTGATCAGTTCTGCTATTGAGAAACTCTGATGCATTGTTCAGTGTGTCAGTTCATTTTTCAGCTCCTGAATTTTTTTTTAATTATACATTAAGTTCTGGGATACATGTGCAGAATGTGCAGGTTTGTTAATAGGTATACATGTGCCATGGTGGTTAGCTGCACCCATCAACCTGTCATCTACATTAGGTATTTCTCCTAATGCTATCCCTCCCCTAGCCCCCCAGCCCCTAATAAGCCCTGGTGTGTGATGTTCCCCTCTGTGTGTCCATATGTTCTCACTGTTCAACTCCCACTTATAAGTGAGAACATGAGGTGTTTGGTTTTCTGTTCCTCTATTAGTTTGCTGAGAATGATGGTTTCCATCTTCATCCATGTCCCTGCAAAGGAAATGAACTCATCCTTTTTTATGGCTGCATGGTATTCCATGGTGTATATGTGCCTCATTTTCTTTGTCCAGTCTATCATTGATGGACATTTGGGTGGTTTCCAAGTCTATGTCTATTGTGAATAGTGCTGCAATAAACATACTTGTGCATGTGTCTTTATAGCAGAATGATTTATGATGCTTTGGGTATATACCCAGTAATGGGATTGCTGGGTCAAATGGTATTTCTGGTTCTAGATCCTTGAGGAATTGCCCCACTGTTTCCACAATGGTTGAACTAAATTACACTCCCCCCAACAGTGTAAAAGTGTTCCTATTTCTCCACATTTTCTCCAGCCTCTGTTGTTTCCTGACTTTTTAATGATTGCCATTCTTACTGGCATGAGATGGTATCTCAATATGGTTTTGATTTGCATTTCTCTGATGACCAGTGATGATGAGCTCTTTTTCATACGTTTGTTGGCCACATAAATGTCTTCTTTTGAGAAGTGTCTGTTCATATCCTTTTCCCACTTTTTGATGGAGTTGTTTTTTTTCTTGTAAATTTGTTGAAGTTCCTTGTATATTCCAGATGTTAGCCCTTTGTCAGATGGATAGATTGCAAAAATTTTCTCCTATTCTGTATGTTGCCTGTTCACTCTGATGATAGTTTCTTTTGCTGTGCAAAATCAGCTCCAGAATTTCTGCTTGACTTTTTCAAAAATTATTTTAATCTTTTTGTAAAATGTATCTGATAGAATTCTGAATTTCTTCTCTATCTTATCTTGAATTTTGTTATCTTCCTCAAATTAGCTATTTGTAATTCTCTGTCTGAAAGGTTGCATATCTCTATCACTCTGGGATTGGTTACATGTGCTTTATTTAGTTCTTTTGGTGGGATCATGTTTTCCTGGATGGTCTTGATGATTTTGGGTATTTATTGATATCTGGGCTTTGCAGAGTTAAGAATTTATTATAGTCTTTGCAGTCTGGGCTTGTTTTACTCATCCTTCTTGGTAAGGCTTTCAATGTATCCAAAGGGAATGTTGTATTGTGATTTAAATCTTTGGTCACTGCAGCTGTCTCTGCATAAGGGGGGCACCCTAAGCTAAGTAACACTGTGACTCTTCTAGACTAAAAAATGTACCACCTTGGTGGTCTTGGGTAAGATCTGAGGGAATTCCCTGAATTACCAGGCAGAGACTCTTGTTCTCTTTCTTTACTTGTGCCCAAACAAATGGAGTTTTTCTCTCCATGCTGAGCTGTCTGGAGCTGGGGGATATGTGACACAGCGTCCCTGTGGCCACCTCCACTGGGACTGCACTTGGTCAGAACTGAAGCCCAGCACCGCACTCTATCTCACCCAAAGCCCTTGGAAACCACTACCTGGTTACCAACAGTGTTTACTCAAGGCCCAAGGGCTCTTCAGTCAGTATGTGTCCAATTGTGCCAGTGTTTTGTCCTTCCTTTCAGGGCAGAAAATTTCCCCCAGTGGAGATGCTGGTTCAAAAATGCCATCTGGGAGCCAGGGCCTGGAGTCACAAACCTTAAGAATTTACTTGGTTCTCTATTTTACTATGGCTTAGTTGGCACCCAAACCACAAGACAAAGTCCTTCCCACTTTTCCATATCCTCTCCTCAAGCAGAAGGATTCTTTATTTGTGGCCATCACTGTCCCAGGCCTGCAGCAAGTACTCCCTGGTTACTGTCAATGTTCACTCATAGCCCATGGGTTCTTCAGCCAGCTGTGGTAAATGCAACCAGGCCTGGGTCTTTCCCTTCAGGGGAGTAGGCTCCCCCTTTGGTCCAGGATAAGTTTATAAATGCCACCTAGGAATCAAGACCTGGAATCTAGGACCACAGGTACCCACTTGTTGCTCTACCCCACAGCGGCTGAGCTGGTACGCAAGCTAAATTTTGATTTGCATGAAGCTGTTTTCTCCTGTGCATAGTTGTTCTATTTGGTGTTCTTGTATGGGTTGGGGGTTATAGCTGGATAGTTCTATCTGGCCATCTTACTCCACCTCATCTTGCCTTTTTTTTTTTTTTTTCTAGACAGATTCTGGCTTTGTTACCCAGGCTGGAGTATAGTGGCCTGATCAAATATCAGTGTAGCCTCTAACTCCTAGGCTCAAGTAATCCTCCTGCTTTAGCCTCCCAAGTAGTTGGACTGTAAGTACAAGCCACTGCACTGGCTTAATTGTCATTTTAGCAGTGTTGAAAGATGGAACATTTAAGAGGTGATTAGATCATGAACACTCTGCCTTTTAAAATGGATTAATGTTATTGTTATGGCAATGGCTTATTTATCATGACAGTGAGTTCTTGTTCAAAAGTTAAGTTTATAATATATAATTTTTGACCGAAGATTCTAAAGCATGTTTCTCATTGTGACATATTGAAATACATTCCTGGTTAATTGCTACTGAAGTATTCTATAATTTCATCTAAATCAAGGATGCAGAAATATGTTTTATATGGTGAACTAAATAATAGCATTGGTTGGATTATAACTTAAAACAGGTTCTATGCCTGCTGAAAACTGAACAGTAATGTGTAGTTTAAGCCAAAATGGCTACATTTGTAGAAAGTCCTACAATAAAACACTCAAGAAATCAGAGAAATAAAGTGTTTTAAAGCAATGGTAATAATATTAAAATTTTATTTCACATTTTTGTGTTTATTGTCTGTATGGTAATTTACACGTTTATTTCATTTTAGATTAAGTTTGACAATTTTAGGTATGGATAGCAAATCATATATGTCAGGCAAGTTATCCATTGATATAAATATACAATCTTTATGTTTAACTAAAATGAAACAAAATTAGTTATTTCTATGTCTAATTTCTATTTGCTTTTGGTTTCAATTATAAACTTTAAATAACTTTGCAAAACGTTGCCCACCTAAGTAAATCACGAGGTCAGGAGATCGAGACCATCCTGGCTAACACGGTGGCACTCCGTCTCTACTAAAAACACAAAAAATTAGCCTGGCGTTATGGTGGGCTCCTATAGTCCCAGCTACTTCGGAGGCTGAGGCAGGAGAATGGCGTGAACCCGGGAGGCGGAGCTTGCCGTGAGCCAAGATCACGGCACTGCACTCCAGTCTAGGCGACAGAGCGAGATTCCATCAAAAAAAAAAAAAAAAAAAAAAATTGTTGCCCACCTAAAATGTGACATATCTTCTTTTGAAGGATGAATTTGCCTTCAAACAATGGGACCAGCTCATCTTTGTCTTCTATTATTTGCCTCTAATGTTAATGTCATCTTAAATCTTGAAATATAAAATCGATATTTGCCATGTTTATGAGTTACATAGCTGAAAATTGACTAAGTCTAAAACAAGTTTCCTGAATATTGCTTCAACATTTTTAAACAATATGCAAATAATATCAAATTACTAAAAAGTAAATGATCAGACACTTAACTTTATAATTATTTAAGAAAATAAAGTTTTGGTATCTTGTAAAAATTAAATATACAATTGTTCATTAAATTTTTGAAAAGTAACGAAATTATGAGACATAAAAATTAGATGTTAATTAGAAATTATCTGTAATTTGAAATCCATTTATAAATGGATTTCAAAGTAACCTATCAATTACTGGTAGAAAGCTAAACCCCTTTTATATAAATTTTGGTTGAATTATAAAAACAGTATATATCATAAGTATGGCATTATATTATGTAAACAGCATTCAATTTTTATAAATATTTATGTTTAATTCTATAGGCTTTTCATAAATAAATACAAAGCAGCAGCTGGCTTCTGTCATTTGAACAGGTTTCCTTCGATTTGTATGATTGTTCTGCTCTCGATTGCTGTTTTGCCCTATTTTGTTCAACATGAAATAAATAACCACATTGTACAATGATGATTTTTAAAGCAAGATTACATCATAGAAATCAAATAGGTGTAATGATTATGGCTATCAAATTAATCAAATGGCTTCTCTTTTGAAAAGATATGATAGACATTTCTCAAAAGAAGACATACAAATGGTCAACAAGTATAAAAAAATGCTCAGCATCAGTAATTCTCAGATAGATGCAAACCAAAACTACAATGAGACGTCATCTCACCCCAATTAAAATGGCTTTTATCAAAAAGATAAAAAAGTAACAGAACACAGAGAAAGCAGAATGCTGATACACTGTTGATGAGAATGTAAATTAGTATAGCCACTCTGGAGAACAGTACGCAGGTTTTTGAAAAAAACTAAAAATAGAGCTACCATATGATCCAGCAATCCCACTGCTGGATATATATATCCAAAAAAAGAAAATCAGCACATTGAAGAGATACCTACATTCCCACGTTTATTGAGGCACTATTTACACTAGCCAAGATATGGAATCAACCCATGTTTCCATTAACAGATGAATAAATAAAAGTAATACATATACACAATGAAATATTATTCAGTCACAAAAATAATGAAATCCTGTATCTGCAACAATGTGGATACAACTGGAGAATATTATGTTAAGTGAAATAAGCCAGACACAGAAAGACAGATATCAAATGTTCTCATTAATATGTGGGGGCTAAAAAAAAATAAACCCATAAAGATAGAGAGTAGAATGATGCTTAACGGAAGCTGTTTTAGTGGGGAGGAGTGGAAAAGGGGATTGGTTAATGAGTACAAAATATAATTAGATAGAAGAAATAATGTCTAGTGTTTGGTAACACAGTAGGATGACTACAGTTAACAATAGTTTTTGTGTATTTCAAAATAACTAGAGGAGTAAATTTGAAATATTCCACAAAGATTGGATGCACGTTTGAGGTGATGGATGCCCTAATTACCTTGCTTTAATCATTACACATTGTATGCTTGTATCAAAATAGCACATGTACAACTATTATGTATCCAAAGGAATTCAAAGTAAAAAATACAGGGTAAAAAAAATGCAACATGTTTTTCTCGCCAAATTTATCAAAGATTGTTGTGCTTATGTTTGGAATAGAGAGTTTTTATATTCCTTGTAAATTTAATCTGAGCAATCATTTACAAATTTTTCAGAATTTACAGTCACTTTTCTCATTTTATGTCTGGTGAAAACAACTGAGATGCTGGCTTTTAGTCTTTTCTTCTGTTTAATGAGTATTTCCAACTATTTCTAAAAATATATCTCAATCATACCTTGAAAATTCAAGTTGACTTTAAATAAAATTAAATAAGCCATGCAAAATTCAGAAAAATAAATTTGTGAGCATAATTTAAAAGTGTATGCATAGGTACATGGATACAGGGGGAAAAAAACCCTGATACAATTGAGTTGGCTGACATATAGGCATAAAGTCTGCTGAACAGATTCTTGCTCTGATTAAATTTGCTTGGACTCCAGATGACCTGATGCTTGATTGATCTAACAGAACAATTCAATTTTCATTCTTCTGAAAGGTACTATAAAATCATGCCAAACGAAATTAATCTGTTGCAGTTATGTGCATCATAGATAGCAACAGACAGTAGCATAGGTAGTAATGAAACAGTATTCTTCTTCTTGCTAGAAATTTTGTACAATGAATATCAGACACTGAAAGTAAGGATGGGGATTAAATAAATGATCGTGAACATAAATAAGTATTATATCTGAACAGAGCTAAGTAAACATGTCTGACTCCGAATATTTAACCCTGAAATGAGAAAATGCCATGCATGAGGGTGTAGAGAGTACTTGATCTATGCTAACAAGATTAGAATTGAGAAATAATTTTAATTTTACAATACATATATAATTTAATTTTTGTATTTTGTAAACAGAATTTTAGTAACTTCAGCAGCACACACATACATTTTATGTGTACATGAGATACATGTATGAAGCATTACTCAATTTACTACTTATTCAAAATTGGATACAAAGTTCTCTGGAAGCATTTGAAGGGATTTGCATTATGCACAAGGAGAAGATAGATGGTCTAAAGCCAGTCTAACCACATTCTTCTTTGAACAGAAAAGTGCCACAGTAATTTATATAATCAAGCGTCATACTACTTATTGTGATCAAATTATTCTGCTGCTTAAAAATTTTAAAAACCAATTCATAGTATGGAAAACAATGTAAATTTTCTCAAATTACCTTCCTGGGGCTCCCATTTATTATTCATAAGTCTTAGAGAAAAACAGGCTCAATAATCTGTTCATTGCTAAAGGTTATCTTGAAAGATCAAATCTGTAGTCATAATTATTCTTACATTCTCCTTATCTTTCATTTACCTTGTTCAACTGGTTGCCAAGTTGGCCATCCTTCTCGAATGTCTTTTGCATCAATTGTTTTTTTTCTATGCTCTGTGCCACACATTAATTAAGGGAATTATGATTTTGCAAAATTATTCTAACAGCCTTTGACAAGTCTTCATAAATCTTCCACAGTGTTAAAATATCCAGTATTTGAATCTGTTAATATGAATCTCCGACTTAAAATCCTCTAAGACATTTCATTGACTATACATAATAATTTTTGGTGTGGCATATGAAATATGAAACCTTTCATCATTTGCTCCCTGAATATTCAACTTCAACTCTGCCAGTATGCATTATGGACTCTATGTTATACAAACATTTTAAACCACTGCTTACCCTTTAAAGTCTCCTCAACAAACATTTCCATTTTCAACACCTTTGCTTCTCGTTGACTGTCAATAAGCTGTCCTACTTACTTATGAAGACACATAAGACATGTAACTTGTTCATGAATTTCCTCCAAATTTTCTACCCTATGATACTATTCCTACAAAATCTTATTCAAATCCTAGTGGCATCTTTTTTTTACACTGAATATTTTTATGTATCAAATTTATATTGTCAACACTTTTTTTTTTCTTTTTTTTTAGACAGTCTCGCTCTGTCACCCAGGCTGGAGTGCAGTGGCACGAGCTCAGCTCTCTGCAACCTCCGTGCCTTCCGGGTTCAAGTGATTCTCCTGCCTCAGCCTCCTGAGTAGCTGAGATTACAGGCGCGTGCCACCATGCCCGGCTAATTTTTGTATTTTTTAGTAGAGACGGGGTTTCACTATGTTGGTCAGGCTGGTCTCAAACTCCTGACTTCGTGATCTGCCCGCCTCAGCCCCGAAAAGTGCTGGGATTACAGGCGTGAACCACCGTGCCCGGCCTGTCAATATTTTTTAAATGTGACATTATCAGTATTCACTTATAATAGCCATCTCTTTCTGTATGAAAACTTGGTCTTATTCATCTTTGAATCCTCAGAAGAGGACAACATTCTTTGTAAATCATCTGTTGAAACTGTTCGTTTTACATTTTAGAAGAGAGAGAGAGAAAGATAAAATTGATTGTTGTAGATAGATATGCCCTGCGCTGTAGGAAAATTAATTATTTATCCATTTAGTGTATAAGTTTGTGCATGTGCTTGCAAATATATTTAAGGCAACATGCTTTTATTATACACTTCAAGATGACTTTCTCTAATTTTAGTTTTAGTTTTTAATAATTAAATATTTTCTCTCAGATAACTTTCAAGTTTCCTATGATATCTAAGCTGCAGCAGTTCCATTTTTCTGTCAATGGTCTCAGATATTAAAATGTTAATACCCATTATGTCTTCAGAGAGTGTTTTTAATTTCTCTATTACACTTAGCAAGACATTTACTTTTCTTATGGTATACTCCATTGAGTAGTTGTCACTTGCTTTCCAGTATTATACTCATTATCATTTGCTTTCCAGAAGATCTCTGAAATATTTCAAAAATATTATCTCATTGTTGGTAATTTTCACATTATAGATCTTTCCATGATCATATAAAATAATGTTACATTAAACTAAATTGACTCTTTTCTGACATAAAATAACCACAGGTTATATTTCTGACTGGTAGCAATTTAAAGCAGAAATACATGTGATGTCTTTTTATATATTATAAAAAATTATTATGAAAAAATAAGAAAAATCCTATTTGCATTGAAACTGGCATTGGAGACCTACATTTTTGTAGAAAGGGATTTGTAATGAGGTTTCAAAAATGACAAAAAATTTTATCAGCCTATGAACAGCAAAAATATTTTTCTTATTTTGTAAATTTTTATTAGTGTTTTATATGTATATGGCCAATCTTTATTTTATGAATACATATATATATATATATATATCCTCTCTCTATATATCCACTATAAAAAAGACATTTAGAGGACTAAACATACAAAGCAAAATGAGACTATTTCCTTAAGAGAAACTACAATAGCTAAGCAATATGCACTGTAATTTATTATTATAGTTGAAAGTTTGTTTGACATACTTTGTAAATAAATTAAATTGTTTCATAATATTAAATAAATTGATTGTATATGGAAAATTATCACTTGAGTGCACTTACCATTAAAGTGTTAGATTAAGTGAAATATGTGCCCTTTTGTGCTCTATTTATTCATGGCATATTAATGATTAGGATTCACTGAAGGCTTAATGTATACAATATAAATATTACAGTGTACACTAGAAGACATGTTTACAAAACAGCTCTCAAATAACCTTCTGAAAATATATGTTGTTACTGTCAAGACTCTTGTTAATTATGTACATGAAGAGTCCATGCATGACATTATCAACTAGAGCATGTGGCAGTATTTATTGTTACATCATTCTGCATTTATTAATGGCTACCATGGGTCCTCTATGGCAAAAGGAAAATTAATTATCAGAATTATGTTTGAAGTGATTATACTGTTGTGGAGTAAATATTATCTATGAATAATACCAACCTGATAGTTTATATCCTTATTTTTCAATGACTTGATGATAGCGTGTGATGGTTAATTGTATGTATCAACTTGGCTAAAAGGTGCCAAGATAGATGTAAAACATTATTTCTGAGTGTTTCTGGGATGGTGGTTCTGGAAAATATTAGCATTTGAATCAGTAGACTTACTGAAGGAAAACCACATTCACTTTCCCCACCTGACCTCACCCTCATTCTGGCGTTCAGGCCTTTGAGCTGTGACTTGATTACACCACATGCTTTTTTAGCTCTCCAGCTTGCAGACAGCAGATGGTGGGACTTACTGGCTTCTATAATTGTTTGAGCCAATTCCTATAATGAATCTTACCTATATCTATATCTCTACATATCTCTGATTGGTTCTGTGTCTCTGAAGAACCCTGACTAATACAGATTCTGGTACAGAGAGTGGATCTGGAGAAACAAAATTTAAGGTTTGGTTTTCTGAATTGATTCTGGGGTGTCTGGTATTGGCTCTTAAGTTCGATTAGATTTAAGACATTAATGACTGTTTTCAATAGTAAATTGAGCACTGACAGTCAGTGATGCAAACTTTATAGTTACGTAAAACCTTTGCATTGGATACTCCCAATCAACCACTTATAATAAGAAAGGAGCTAAGTGAATCTGTATTTAACATTTTGAACAGTTTTTGAAAACTAAGAAATATAATGATGTTCATTGGTTTTTCTTATTGTCACAGGAAAAAGTAATGGAGAGAAATGATTGAAACCATTGAAACCATCATCGCAAAATTATAACTGAGACGGTTACAGAGATCTGACTTAACCAACTCCATCTTGCTTCTACCCTCTAAGCTGTCCTTCATTCCCGGGCATAGGCCAAACTAACTTTGGGAGGAACTTAGTTTATAGTTTATAGTTTAAAATAAAGATGATAACAGCCCTTTCCCAAAACAAACTTCCTCTGCGTAAGGACTAGACTGCCTTTGTAGGACTAATAAGTTAGCTAAAATATTGGAAGTTATGGTTTAGGAGTCTTGCATCGTGGGGCTACAAGATTCTGACCCTCCCCAAATTGCTCCTGGGGATAACATCACTATTGTAAAACCTACAATAAGTTCTTGAGATATTTTGTACCCTGTACTTGATGGATCAACTGGCACCACCCAGACTGATAAACTGGCTCATCTGATCTTGTGGTCCCCATCCAGGAACTGACTTAGCATTAGAGGACAGCTTCAACTCCCAATGATTTCATCATCCACCAAACCAATCAGCATTTCCGATTCACTGTCCACCACTCCTCCCACACCAAATTATTACTATTATTATTATTTTTTGAGACGGAGTCTCTCTCTGCCGCCCGGGCTGGAGTGCAGTAGTGTGATCTCCGCTCACTGCAAGCTCCGCCTCCCAGGTTCACGCCATTCTCCTGCCTCAGCCTCTCGAGTAGCTGGGACCACATGCCCCCGCCACGACGCCCAGCTAATTTTTTTTTTTTTGTATTTTTAGTAGAGACGGGGTTTCACCGTGTTAGCCAGGATGGTCTCAATCTCCTGACTTCGTGATCCGCCCGCCTCGGCCTCCCAAAGTGCTGGATTACAGGCGTGAGCCACCGCACCCGGCCCAAATTACTTGATTATTAAAAACTCTCATCCCCAAATGCTTGTAGAGAATGATTTGCCCATAACAAGCCCAGACTCAGACGTCAGGACTACCAGCTGCGGGAAGGAGCTACCCACTTCCAGTCTCCTCGACTCTTTCGAACAACTTGTCTAAGGAAAGGAGCTCCTCACCACAGGTCTCCCCTCCACTGACAGCTGGACACTCATGGGGACGACCTGCCTGCAAAAAGGAGCTACCCACTTTGAGTCTCCTGAGAGCTGTTCTGTTGCTCCTTGAAGCTCTTGCTCACCCTCCAATTGTCCATGTACCTCATTCTTTCTTGATGTGCAACAAGAACTCAGGACCTGTAGAATGGAGGGCCTTCAAGAGCTGTGACACAAACAGGGCTGAAACACTCCCCATGTGCGCCACATTACGGGTGATGAGGAGAGAAGAGCTGTGGCCCTTCTGGGATCCCAGACCTTGGGTATCCCTGAGCCAGGGATGTGACATGCTATAACCCCCTCTTTGGGGCTTTGCAATTCCTGGTATCTCCAAACTTTGGGGCGCCACCATGTTCTCCATGTCCAGACCCTGGTTCCCACAGTGGAGGCAACTTGCGGTATGTCTGGTCCAGCCACAGCCTTTCACAGAGCTGGTGCCTGTGCCAGCACTTGGAGCTGCCCATCCTGCTGCAGCTGGCATGCCTGGCTGTGCACAGTGGCCGAACCCTGCACTTGCTCACTCACATGCCCCTTACTGCGTTGTTCCTGGCCCACCCTTGGCAGGCATGGGATCTGGGCTGGTAATACAAGCTGAGTGTAGCTTGCTGGGCCGAGTGGACAGAATGAGCCCAGCAGGTGCAAGCAAAACCCAAACAGAGGCATTAAGGACCAGCTGGTGAAGAGACACCCTGAAGATCCTGTGACAATATTGTTTATTCACTAAATGTTTCAAACTCTTAAACAGAGAAATGTACATGCAATGTTACAATGAATACAAAGCTATAAATGTGCAAGATCATTAATGAATGTAACTGTCGTGGATTTTAATTGAACCACTAAGTTTGCTTTACTCTTAAATGTATTTTGTTATGTAATTTTATTATTTATTTGAATGCCTAGTCCTCGATTTTTACAAATCAAAAGTAAACAAAGCAAACCAAACCAAACAAAAAAAGCCTACAGCAATGCAGAATTTGGTTTATTCCTGCTCCAGTCACAGGTACTTGTTCTCAGTGTAAGGAGAGAGAGCTGTGTCTCTTGTCACAGATTTTTACTTGTTACATAATGGGACACTGTATTTTGTATTAAATATTAATTTTAATTTAGAGTTTCTTATTTGTCTCCAATAAGAAAAGGTTTGTATGTTTTTTAAGTTTACATGGCTGGGTAACTAAATTAGTCATATTTTGAAATAAACATATTGTATTATATTACAAAATATATTTTACCTAATATTTATTTTTAAATGTATATATTTCTTATTCATATTTTATTGCAGTTAGTAGAGCCACCTTCAATTTTCTTCTTTGATAAAATGAGGGAATGAATTTTCATACTTGCTTTTTTTAGAATATTTTGGTAATTCATCATTAGGGAATACATTATTGGAATCATCCTTTAATTACCTGTTGTATATGATGCATCACTTTCTGTATATTTATCATACATGAACTCTAATGTTGATTCACCTGGCTTGTTATTGTGAATCCTACTCTTCAAAACTAACTGGCTCACTCACAAATTCTATTTAACTATTTTCTGCTTAAACAATAGAAACAAGAAATTTATAAACCGTCCCTTTTACAAAGGAAGCAAAAATATAAACAAAAACAATGTCCTACTTATTAAAATCAACAAAAATAAATATTTATAAAATAAGTATAATCAACTTTTTGTATAATTGTCTTATGTCTATGTTTTTATTGGAATTTGTAGAATATCATTATGAATTAATGAGGTTTTACAATGTTACTTTGTTTTGATTGATTTCATTATTCTTATTATTTAAAGTTCCATGTATTACAACTTACCACAAAAAAAAACCCTTTAGTAGCCTACTTGATCTTACCATTGCTTTGTGCTTTTCTTCAGAGCATTTCTAGTTCTGGTGATAATGGCATATTTCAGACTCATTTTGACTTTTCTTGGTCCAACCTGTGGGACCAAATACCCTCCAAGGATTCCTTGTTTTCTTAGTAGCAATTAGTTTAAGGACAAAAATCTGAAAACTAATGGTGCTCCTGCGTTTGATGGTGTGCAGAAATGCATTTGCAGTTACTATTTATTCATCTTAACATTGACAAAGCCAGAAAGTATATCTTTTAAAGTCATGAATTCACAATGAATTTTTCACAACTTGACAAGCTAAAGCTCCTTCTTTCTTGCACTATATGGTTATACTTGCCTTTAAGATTTTTTTTTGATGTTGACACTAAGAGCTTCTGGGGTCAATTTAAGATGAGGTATGCATAGTAATGAGTAAAGTAATAATAAAAAACAAGAATTTCAATTAGAAAAAATAGTATTTTTGGGGCCAGGCCCGGAGGCTCACGCCTGTAATCTCAGCACTTTGGGAGGCCAAGGTGGGCAGATCACAAGGTCAGGAGTTTGAGACAAGCCTGGCCAACATAGTGAAACCCCACCTCTACTAAAAATACAAAAATTAGCCGAGCGTGGTGGCACATGCCTGTAGTCCCAGCTACTCGGGAGGCTAAGGCAGGAGAATGGCTTGAACCCAGGAGGTGGAGGTTGCAGTGAGCAGAGATCGTGCCACTGCACTCCAGCTTGATTGACAGAGTAAGACTTCGTCTCAAAAAAATAATAATAATAATAATATTTTTTAAATGTAAAGAAAAGGAGTATATTACCATTGTAGGGAAAAATTACATGAGATGAGGCTCATGAAATATGCAGGGGGATAACATATGGACTTTTTGTCTATTTCAAAAATATTTGGATTTCTTTGTTAGTTTTGAATATTTAAATTTTTTAGTTTTGTTTTTGTTCTTGTACTTTTTCAAGTCAAATGGTAATTGATTGATGGCTAATATATTATTATTGTTAAATTACATTTTATTTGCTGAGGCAGATTGGAGGATAAGTAGGTAAGTATGAATGGTTACTACACTAATAAAGTTAAGGGAATGTATTGACTTGCACTGCAGTGGTGGCAATGTGAGTAAAAGCAATAGTTTCAAGAGGTATTTAGAAGGGAGACACAAAGTGATTTTGCATTTAATTGGACCTGTGGTCAGAAGAGGGGAAAAGAACAAATGTTAAGGCTAAATACAACCTTTAAACCGTGAACTGGGAAGGTTCTGATACATTTACTGAGATAGAAAACACTGGAAGAGGGTCAAGATGACAGACAAGGTTGTAAGTACAGTTCTAGACATGAGTTAAAGTGCCTGTGAGATATGCGCTTGAGGGTAACAAGAGGCTCTTGATTTTTTATGTCTGAATCATAGCCAACAGAGGGGTGGTCCTCAAAAGCGAAGGAATAATTCTTAGTATTAAATGCTACTGCAAATGATAGTAGATACGAACTAAATTAGATCAATTATGATGTGAAGCTTTCTGGAGTTGATGGCAAAATTACCTTTTATAAATTATTGTAGACAGAGTTGAGTTTCACTGGATTGAGAAATAACAGTATTTTAAAGTTAGATATAATATGTGTAGAAGTTACTTATGCTTGAAAAGAGATGTGGCAGAATAGCTGTTAAAACCAGGATTAAAGGAAGCTTTTGTGCCTTTGTATTATTACATTTAGTAACCTTGAGATATGTTTAAATTAGAAGTGTCATGTTTGGATATTTACATCAAGATATATTATAACTTAATTAGTGAGGAGTTCTTGAAGAAACTAATTCCTTAAGAATAGGAAGGAACATAGGAAGGATATACATTATCAGAAGTGTGCAAAATTTTAAGTGAAAGGAATATGTCAGGTAAAGACTGTATATTATAGCGTTTATAAGAATTAGTATTATCTTGTGTGTATTTGTATATATTTTATAATTATAATATTATAAGAAATGTCCTCATTATTTACTTGGAAGTATATAAATAGGTTTAGAGTTTAAAAAATAAGCTGATTAATTCTATGTTTTAGATTATATTATTTCAATTTATATTATTTATTTGTAAATATAGTATATTCAACTCTGTGTGAGCAACTTAAAGATTTTCTTCAGTATATTTTCATTCACTTTCATAAATATAGTGTTGAAATGGCTATATATTTTAACAAGTGATATTCAGTATCTTTAGCTGAAATCAGTTTTATTTCTTTTGCCAAAAGAAAGGGTGATAAAAGGATGAATTGCAGAAAAGGCGATGTCAGAAAAAAGGCAGATAATCATCACCCACCAAACAAGTGGACGTTTTCTTGTCAACTTTTGTCTCTTCTGTCATAGAAATTCCTCTGAGGTTTCAGGTTTTCAAAAGATTTGACACAGTATTTTAGAATTGGCAAACACTGTTGCAGAACACCTTATAAAAAACAAGATTTTCTCTGTTTTTTTTTCTTTTTTGGTTTTTGTTTCCAATTTCTATATCTCATTATTAAGTTTGCTTCATTCGAAATGCAAAGATTATGGCTTGAGTTTTCTTTAGAAGAGTAGCTTTCTTTAAAAGTAAAATTTGTCCTTTTCATCTAATTCTTTGAATATATCAGAGTTCTTGATTTATTGCAAAATATATTTTATTTCTTTTCCTCTTGTATAAATTATTTTAGATTTCTTAAGTTTACGCAATGGTTACTCAATTTATTACATAAAATGAAAATGTGATAGGGAATTGGATGGGTGCCTAAAGAAAGGCCATTAGTACACTTTTTGTTAAAATAATTTGATTCTATTTAAAATATTTATTTTATGCTCTCCATCAAAGATATCTTGTTAAACATGTATTTCTTCTATAATTATTTTGGAATTAAATCTTCACCTATTAGTTTACATTGTAAAAAAAAACAAACATTTAGTATTATACATGTAGGAAAAAATTTATATTTTAATCAGATCAATTAAAACAAAAAATATTTATATTAGAGTACATGATAATTTACTTAATAGGCTGTTATTGAAAAACTTAAATAAATGTAATCTTTGTGACTGCCAAATCTTAAAACATTACTATTATATAATCTGTATTTTATCATTTTGTAACTGGTAAAAGCTTTATCTTTCTTACCAAATTGTGAGCTCCTAAATTTTAGTTGGTAGAATAGGGAGTTTGATTAAAGGAAGACATATTTGACACAGGTAAAGTAATTTCTGCACTAAATTAATATGAAAATGCCTGCAAAATAGGTATGTCATGTGTGAAGTATTTGAATAAGAGTAGAAACTACAATAAAATATTTTAATATGGTATCTTGAAATCATGAGGAGTGTAGAATTTGAGTAAAAATGTGAGTTTTGCAAGACAAAGGTGGTGTTTATGGCTTAGGAAATTTAGTTCTAAATTTCTAAAGTTCTAAAATTCTACTCTATTCAAAGCATCAAACCATCAACAAAATTCTAGCCTTATCAGAGATGAAAATATACAATCCATTGCTTAGAGTTAGCGAGGATAGGTGGAGAAATTAAAATAAATTTAATTCCATGTCGTGGAGTGGGGAGAGGGGGGAGGGATAGCATTAGAAGATATACCTAATGTAAATGACAAGTTAATGGGTGCAGCACACCAACATGGCACATCCATGCATATGTAACAAACCTGCACGTTATGCACTTGTACCCTAGAACTTAAAGTATAGTAATAATAATAATAAAATAAAATAAAATTAATTATTCAGTAAAGATTGATCAAGAACCTACTACATGGCAAGCTCTTGACAAAGTCCTGAGTATTATTAAATTCATTTATTCTACAAGATGTAGAGTAAGGGTTATGAACAAAGGGAGAAAGGGTAAGTAGAGGAGGCACAAGGGCTGCATTATACTAGGTAACCAAAGACTCTAAAGCATAGCATAACAATTAGGCAGATAGAGTTATCAACATTTGCTTGCAGAAGTAAGCTACTTTATTCATTCAAAAATATTTATATTTTCATTTACTATTTATCAGGCATTGTACTAGAATAATATTTAATTTTATATTGGTTTCTGACTAGTGTTTTCAATGCAGTAGTTGAGCCATACTTTGAACAAATAATCAAAATAAACAGTATGATTTCAATTGACACAAGTACTATAAAACAAAAATAAAAGTAATGAGAGTTTACGTTTGTGATGATTAATTTTATGCATTAACTTGACTGTGTCAAGGGGCATGCAGATATTTGGCTACACATTATTTCTGGATGTGTTTTGAGGCTAATTCTAGATTAACACTTTGGATCAGCACATTTAGTAAAGTCCATTGCCCTCCCCAATGTGGTTTGGCCTCATTCAATCCATTGAGGACTGGAATTTATACCACTGACTCCTCTACTTACCAGGCCTTTGGACTTAGACTGAAATATGCCTTTGGTCCTCATGGGCCTGCAGCTCGCAAACAGTAGATTATGGGAATTCTCAGCCTCTGTAATTGTGTGACCCAAATTCTCATAAATCTCTTCATATGAGTATATATGTATGTATATGTGTGTGTGTATACATATATATATATGTATGTATATGTGTGTGTGTGTGTATATATATATATATATGCATGTATGAGTGTATCTCCTATTGTTTCTGCTTCTCTGGACGTTTCTGACTTAATGTTATTTAACTGACTTAGTACTTAAGTTAGAAAAAGGTAAAATAATGGGAGGTCATGAAATCCTCTTGGAAGAGGTGATATTTATATATGGATCTAAAGAAAAGTAAAAGTATGCCATGAGCCACGTGCAGTGGCTCACACCTGTAATCCCAGCACTTTGAGAGGTCAAGGTTGGGAGGATCACCTGAGGTCAGAAGTTCGAGACCAGCCCGGCCAACATGGCGAAACCTCATCTTTATTAAAAATACAAAAATTAGCTGGGCGTGGTGGCACACACCTGTAACCCAGGTACTTGGGAGGCTGAGGAAGGAGAGTTGCTTGAACAGGGAAGGTGGAGGTTTCAGTGAGCCGAGATCACACCATTGCACTCCAGCCTGGGAGATAAGACTGAAACTCCGTCTCAAACAGACAGACAAACAAATGTATGTCATGAAAAAATAAAAGAGGAGTAAGAATGACAGGAGTCAAGGCCAATGGCGTTCTTGAGCCAGAGGAACAGGTGTTTTTGGAAATTCTACCCATAGTAATACACATAAATCAGGAATTTAAACAACGTATGCAATAATCTAATTTATACTTTAGAAAGAATAGATGTAATATTCCAAATCAGAGACTGACAAACTTTTCTTTAGTGGACCAAATAGTACACATTTTCATTTGCTGACATTGCTCATAACTCTTCATCTCTGCTCTTGTGGAAAGAAATTAGTATAGTTAATATATCCATTAATTAGTAAAGGTGACTCTATTTCATTAAACTTTATTTGCTGAACTTCTGGCTGTACGATAATGAGCAGATGGGCCTCAGTTTGCTGATTCCTGGCCTAAATAATTCGTCTAGACCACAAGTGAAGGCAGAGAAAAGGGTTAATAAACTATTAGAGAAGAGAGTTTCTCTAACAAGTAGTTGTACAGAACTAGTTGGAAAAGTAAGTCAGTTTTTAAAGATAACTGGCTACTATTTTTACTAGGCTATTTTTAAACTACTTTTTACTACGTTATGTTCATTACGTTCTGTACTTGATTGAGAAGGTAGAAATTGGCAGGACCTGTCATCAGTTTGGATGTAAAGGAAGTAAGGTAGAAAAAGAAAGCAAGAAAAACACTAAGGATTTTTGGAAAACATTAGATAACAATCAAGTGTTAAATGATAATATTTGTGAGCTCCTAGGATATATTATGATAAATAAAAATAAGGAGAAAGGATATCAATAAGAAATACAATGGTGAGTCTGAAGGTTTTATGAGTTTTTATTGGTCCTTAAAGGACAGTGGAATTTTATCTTGTGGTAACAGAGAAAGGCACTTTAGGTAAAGATAATTACATAAAAAAACACGTCCACGTGGGAGAACGTATGAGTGTAGGTGTGCATTTGTATGTGTTTGTGTGTCTGTGTGTGTGACAGAGAAAGAGAGAGACTAAGAAGCTTTTTCTGTCGTTGCACTTCTTTTCATATTTGCAACCCTTTTATTATAATAAGGGCATTGACTTGCTGAATGGCTAAGTAGAAATGGTGTTTATATTGAATATCACGACCAAATATAGTTAAGTAAATTATTAAGCGATTACAATATATTTAAGTATTCTAATAAATATTTATGGAAGCCTTCTTTTAAATTAGGCATTCTTCTCATTATCAAAATGCAGATAAAAATAAAGCACATAGTATTAGTCTCAGAAAGTTCACAATACTATTTATTAGAAGCTTGAAAACCTTAAAGTAAAATGTGACAGTTCCTAAACTAGGGATATGAATAAAATGTAATGTAGGCAATAAAAAGAGACAGAGTAATCCTGCTTTCTATTTGGATAGAAGGAGGTAACCAGGTAGGTTAATGATCAAGTTTGTGGTTGTGATTTAAAATTAAAAAGTAAATCTACAAATATCAGTAAAGTAAACTAAATGTATGCTGATAATGTGTACGTAACTTTAAAATGACATTTCTGCATAGAATCAAATGTAACATTTTGGGATTGAAGATGTTTAATCATGTGTTTCCTTCATTCAAATACAGAGTATTTTATTAGATTTTATTAAAAATTGGCACACAGATTGATCTTTCTATATATCTCCTTTTGAAGCTGTGATAGATCTGAGTTGTTTTGCAGCTTCTGCTCTTTGTAGATAAATTTTCCCAGTCCAGATCATACCTTTTATTACATTTTTCAGTTCTTTTTACACAATTCCAAGATACTGGATCATTTGCATGGTTGTATATGTACATTTAGCCCTTAGATGACTTTGTTCCAGTAATATTTAAATGTAAATTTACATGTTCATGTATTGGTAATTGTGTCTTGATATATACTTGACAAAATAGAATGAGAAATTATCAATAAAAACAAAGATCCAGCTCTCTCTTTCTCCTCCTCCTCTCTCTAAAATAAGAACAAGAGGTAGCTCACCAAAAGCATAATTTTCCAGAGTTATAACCCTTTAGCTGTGCTCTGTAATTATGTTTGCTAGCTATAGTAGAGAGTCACTTCACATTTATGTCAATTAAATGGCATTAAAATCTTAACTTGATACCTCTGCTTGCACGTTATTAGATGATTTTCTCCTGATTCTTTAACCCCTAAGGAATTATTTTGTTGGAGAAATACCATTGCCTTTGAGCCAATTCTATCTAGTTCTTTCTTTTCATCAAATGGGAGAAAAATGTGATGGTCCACATAATTATGTCAGTACATACTTCAAAGCTTACACTATATTTCAATTCTATAGCTTGTGTAATTGCTTTCAATCCTAAATTGCTTAAAGCCAGTTAAATGGACAATTTTTATAAATTTATTTTTTCAATTAACCTTTTGTAAACTTTCAAATGTCTAAATTTTCTTTTAGCATGCCTGATGATAGTAGGTCAATGTAAGCTAATTATAAGTTATGTTCCAGACCAAATGTGTAAAACATGTATTTGAAAAAATACCCATGTACTTCAATGATAAATGGTATTAAATTGCTATCATGTTATATTTCATACATGTATGCATTGCCTCATTTATTAAAATACAAATCTTTAATTGTTACAGTAATAGATGGAGGCACTATAGCAGCCTAAGCAAGAACATGCGTTTGCAGTTTGACAAACTAATTTTCACCCAAATTCCATTGCGATGCAAAGTAGTTATGTGACTTGGGTAAGCTATTAACCTTTTAAGTTTCAGGTTCTCACCAGTCACATTTTTTGTGTGTGGTACTGCCTCCCAGGTGAGTGTCAAGACTGGAATTGATAAATGTACCAAATCATAACCATTTACTTCTTTTAGCAATTTAAGGCATGATATTTTCTTCTCTTCCTGTGCATTTGCCTAAGAAAACAAATGCTATATTTTCCCAAGCTTTATAATCCCTTCTACCATCTAACATGCTTATGTAATTTTAACCAAATCTGTAATGAGTATTTATCTTCTGCTAAAAGAAACATAATTTAAATTAACATTTTATAAGTTCTGAAACATTTTAGTTTTTTTTAAACAATTCTCAAGCTGAATGATTTGACATTTTGATTTTGCCATTTTATATTTGCTTTCTCTCATTCACCTCAAATTGTAACCCTACAAAACTTATGACAGCCTCAGCTCTTCTATTTCAAAATAAAAATTTTAATAACAAACAAAATACGGAAACTTACAAAAATGAAGTTCCTAATGATTAAAGAATTTTTTAATTTAACTATGTGAAAAATATAACCCTATATTTGCACTTTTTTCATAGCAATTTTATCTTTAAAACTAAAAGTTTAATACACTATTTTCAGACTGATAAATTAGTTGTCAGAAATGTTGATGAGACTCAGACACTGAACTGAGTTCCCTGTTCACAATCAAAGTCTGAGCATAGAAAATATGATGATAAAAAGTACAGTTTGGAACAAAATTTTGAATAAAATTGATCCGTTGTGTGATAGTTCAGTAGGGTAACTTTACTTAACAATAATCTATTGTATATTTCAAAATAACTAGAAGAGATTAATTTAATTGTTCCCACCATAAAGAAAAAAGAAAAATTTTAGGTGATAGATAAATTATTTTGATTTGATCATTACACATTATTTGAATATATCTAAATATCATATGTAGCCTCAAAATATGTGTTCATATTATATATCAATACAAATTAAATAATTATAGTATAAAAACTTTTATAAAATATATGAGCAATAAACAGAATATACAAACATTTAATATTAAATGTATGGCATTTACATAAAGGCATCACAATGGAAACATCTATGTGTCCCCTTGGTTAAGATAACAGAGTAAATCTAGAGCTAAAGAATTCCTTCTGAGAAAACTCAATCAGATCAACAATAAAAAAGGGTCGAGAAGGAACAAAAAATATTACAGCTGAGGCCAGGCGTGGCGGCTCATGCCTGTAATCCCAGCACTTTGGGAGGCCGAGGAGAGTGGAACACAAGGTCAAGAGATTGAGACCATCCTGGCCAAGGTAAGTTGAAAATATTGTAAACTGACGTGATATTTTCAACTTGTGATGAGTTTATCTGGACATATCTGCATGTAAGTCTAAGAACATGTGTACTAAAAGGGAAGATATTTTGCAGGGCATGTACCACAAAAGGTGGAAAGTTGGAAGCCATCAGAATTTTGCCTATCACAATGTCTTTGGATTTTTACAGTCAACCTTCAAGTAATACACTATTTCACTTCTAAAATAAGAAATTCATGCCAGCAAGTGAATTGTGTTATTAGTGATATGCATTTTAATACTCCATATACTATAAGCCCATAGTATAATATTTTGGTTTGAAACTGTCAGCTGTATTTTAAAGATATTTAAGCAATAAGAAAAATAAGTATATTATATATTCCCACATATTTTTCACTTCTCTTTTACTCGATTTCTTTGGGTAGATCAGATTCCATCTGGGCACATTGTCTTTCCTAACCTTGCTTGTAGTATAGGTCTTCTCTTGAAGATTTGATGTCAAGATTTGTATGTTAAGGAAACTTTAGATTTGTATTTGAAAAATATTAGCTCTAGATATAGAATGTGAGTGTGCCCTTGATTTTGTATTGTTTTGTTTTCCTGTCAATGTGTTAATATGTTGCTCCACTATTTTCAGGCTTTCATTGTTTCTGAGAATTCTTCTTTGATTCTTATCGTTGTTCTTTATTCTCTTTTTTCATAAAGGTAATAGTTATGTTACTATGTCTTTTACTGTACATGTGATATGTCCTTATTACCTGGCTACTTTTAAGATATTATGTTTTTCATTCAAGCAATTAGATTATAATATGCTTGATAAAGTTTTGTTCATTTTATTTCTGTGTGTTTGGGTTTTATTAAAATTCTCGGATCTATAGTTTTGTAGTTTTTACCAATTTAGAAAATTATCACACACTACTACATTAACCATTTTTATGTCTCCCTTCATTACTATCCTTCAAAGATTCCGATTATACTTAGGGTTTTTAAGTACATCTAGTATTTTGGTCTGTTTAAAAGTGGCTCTGAGTACACTTATACTTTATTCACTACCTTTAAATTATTATTTTTTCTCTCCGTGTTCCAATTTATTACTTTCTCCTTCTATGTCTTTAAGTTCATTAATTGTTTTCTGCAGTGTCTAATCTGCTACCAATCCATTTTAGTCTGTCCTCTCATTCTATTTTTAATCTCCAGAATTTGAATTTATGTATTAAAAAAATCTTTTTTCCTTACTTAACTTCCTAAACCTATGTTTTCTTTGTCATTTCGAACATATTTAATATGATTATAGTGACTGTTTTAAGGTCTGTTTGTTAATTTTAGTACTTGTATCATTTTGGGGTTCATTTTCATTTATTATTTTTTAAAATTCTTTTTGTGGATTGTACTTTCAAGCTTCTTAGCATGTAGGCAATATTTTATTGGATACTAAACATTGTGAATTTTACCTTGCTGGGTTATGTATATTTTTGTATCCTTATAAATTTTCTTGAGTTTGTTCTGGGACTCAGTTAGGCTACTTGGAAACAGTATGAAAAGCTTGAAGTTTGCTTTTATGATTTGTTAGGCATGACCAGAATAGACTTTAATTCAGAGCATACAGTGACCAGGAACATGAAACTTAGATGTGCCTATTTATCCACTGGACCCATTTGAAACAGGGTATTACTTGTCTCCTAGACTCTGTAAGAAACTCATATGTGGGATGTTTGTGGAGGTGGGGGAGTGTGTAATGGCATTTCCAATCCTCTGGTGCCTGTGATAAAACAAAACTTGTAATCAACACCCTTCATATATGTGAGAATTTCCTATTCCTCACATAAATGGCTTTAAGTGCTCTGGGAAAGGATTGGGGAAGTCTGTATTTATATATTTGCTATCAGATTGCAGGACCTTTATTCAAGTATACTCAGCTACTCCATCAGTCAAGGAAATCTGAGTCTGAGAATTGACTTCAATCTGGACCTAGTTAAAGAGATGGTGATTTCCCACTCTGGTGACTAATATTACTCTTTTCTTGTCTGCTTGTGATTGTCTTCATTGTATAGAAAAAAAAGCGATATTAAGCTACCTCAAGTTCAATTGTTTTAAATTTCCTGTGTCTAGAGATATAAACAAATAATAAAATAAATTTAAAAATTTAAAATAGTATTTTCCATTTTAACTTTTTAGATGGTAGATATCTCAAAACATCCTCAGTATAAGGCCTTGGTACAAAGAAGACTGAGACAAAAGATGTTTAATAATTATTTGTATTATTACTGAAATACTCATATAATAGAGATTAGTGTTTTTTATCATATAATTAGGTGAGCACGTTTCAACATTGTCATTCATTTTTTAGTCAGTGGAAATATAATGCATAAAATAAAAATTTAAAGCTACTTTATTTAAAAAGGTATAACTTTTAGTGCATATATTAAATTAAATATAGTGTAGTTTGTCTATCAATATTTGTATTTTTCAATGTTTCAACCAATTTTTTCTTTCTTCATTGGCAACTATGTTAATTCAGTGTAATTACAAAGCTTTTACATATTAGCTTGATCTTTGTTTAATAACCAAGAAAATTAAAGAAATTTAATTTTCAACCTTTAATAAGACAAAGAGTTAACCAATCTTACCGATTTTAGGTAAAAACAAACTTTTAGCTATAATTTAAAACACAATCTCCTGGTTGTGTTTACATTGATAAATCTCACAATCAAGAGATAATTGTGTTTTATATTAGTGTGAGATTTATCAATGTAATCAATGTAATAATCAGTAATTATTAATCACTTAGGAAAAATTCTACCCCTTTGTAAAAAGCTAAATTTGAGCTTAGATTGTGTGAAGAGATTGTTTAAGACACGAGACTGTGTTTTAAATTAGTGTGATATTTATCACTGTAAACAATGTAATAATCAATAATTAACACTTAGGAAAAATACAAAACTTTTTTAGAAAGCTAAATTTTAGGTCCTTTTCTTGAAAATATATTCATATTTGTAAGCACTTTTTTCTTTTTATGCCGTTATTGACTATTTAAATTTCAAAGAATGAGAAGATGTACAATGAGTAATTAATAATTCAATTTTCATAGAAAATATTCTGACTGTATTTTTTGTAGAAACAGAAAGACTATATTGAACATTTATTTTTCTTAATGAAAAAAAGAGTGTAGTGGTGGCAAGCATTTTAAGGCATGACATAATGCGTGCTGTTTTTTTAAAAATAAGATTGATGATGGATTATGCAAAGGTCCTTGTCGGTTTCCGCATTCAATATCTGTCGAAAATGTCTGGATTACAAAGCACTGGATTTTATATATTAAGGAGGATAGTCACACATCTGCAAATATTCAAAATGGCAAATAACTGACAAATGTATTTCTGTTTACTAGGCAAATTATTTCTTCCACGGAGTTGATAGTTTTCGCACTAAGGAGATAATTGTCTTTTACTTCATCGTTTTTCATGTCTTTTGATGTTGTCACAGTGGTACTTGGGTCATACATAAGAGCTTTATATTTTGTTCATGCTTTTTGCTCCAAGTCAAATGTTATCAATGTTAAATAAGGCATCGTGCAGGTGATCCAAAAACATGTATTTTAGTTGCTCAAATTTTGTTATAATCAAGAGAATACTTCGATAGTAGGTTTTTAATACTGTAATATTATTCCTACATTAAAAAAATACGATAGTACATTTATTACTTATATATCTCTTTATTGAATTTTTCTGAATGAGTAGAATTTTGATTTCATTATTTTTTGTGACATCAAAGCCATTTCAATTTCTAATTAAAATCAAGCTTACACCCCTGCCTAGAGTTTGATTGTCTTCATTTCTTAAGGCCCTTAAAATCTTGTTATTGAAAATGAGAGAAATGGTGCTATATATTACATGGTAATAATCACTTTCCTTTTACAAACCCATGCGTGTGAGATACACTGACTAAAAATGTCTTTGATTCTATTGCAGCTAATTAGAAAATGTTTTTGAAGGAATCCACTTATTTTTTTCCTTACCATTTGCCTAAGGACAGAAGAAATTTCTGCATAAATCAAATGAATGATTGTAGCTGTTTCACATGTCTGTAAGTTATGACAGTCTTTACAAGCAGTTGGCATAAACACATTGAAATTTTAGACAGTTGATGTCAGCAAATGTTTCATATGCTAGGCCTTAAGTATTTTTAAGTTAATTTTAAGCTTTATTTTATGTTATATAAGTAGTTATCATGGAATTTCTAATAATGTAGCTCACTTAATACATACTGTCTTATGATATAAAGGCATATTTTATTTTCTTTTTATCAATATATCCTATTTTAAAAACATATAAAATATTTATATCATGCTTAATATTGGAAATTCTATGGTGTTATATTCTAACATTTAAATTTACTCAAACGGTGATTTCAAAGACAAAGTGTTACTATCATTGAAATAATTCAGTGGTAAATCCCAAGCATCTGATATCCTAAATACTTGTTTTAATAACATATTTATAATTATATTCTTACATGTACATCTTTATTGCTAAAATTTAAAATTATGAATTCAGAGAAATATAATTTTTATTACATAATCATATTTCTTTCTCTTGTATGACTCATGATATGTAGTATCTTAGAACTATACTTTCTCAATTATTTATATAGTCAATATTATTTTATAAATGGTTATTTTTATAGCATAACCAAATTAAATATAGTGAAAATCAGTGCACACACACATCAAAATGTATGTTGCTATCATATTTATTTTAATTTATTAAGTAGTTACATTTCATAGCCATTAGCCACATGAATTTCTCACATGGGCGTAATTATGTGAAAGAGTTTCTCATGTCATTTTAAAATTGTAAACCTGCAGGAAATATTACTGTTTGTAATAAGTGCATTGTGATACATCAATTGTTTAGTGAGAAGTATGGTATATCATAAACATTTGAAAGAAAGCTGTTTTGTAGAAACATGAAACAATATTTATAAGCCCCTCTTACCAAATTTAATATTTTATCTGAGTGAAATTGCTTGATAAGGTATCTATGACACATTCGGTGGATTTTTGCTTTATGTAATTCAAAGTACACCATATACAAGACTATCTAATTACTTCTGCTGTGATGTTCACCCTTGTTTGCCTTCTCTGCAAAGCAGACCCTCTGGCTACTGTTTCACTTTTAAACTTAGAAAGAATTTGCATTGGGAGAAAAACAAAACAAAACAGAATACTAGGATAAAGATTAAAACAGTGAGTATCTTAATAGCCACAGGCTAGCTTGCACTTACAGTTTTCTACTCCTCACCCCAGCAAGATTTTGTGTTGCCTTGCTATTTATCCAGTAACACAACCTACTGCAGTATCAGTGGTCATGACTGTCACAACACACTTTATAATAGAAGTTACTCAAAGACAGTAAATAAATGAGGAAAAAAGCATAATCTCAAAATTTTTTTTCATCTGAAGCTCTTAATCTCTTTTTGCCATATGTACCTTAGCCACTGCCCTAACTCAAGCACAAAAAGACACTGGTCTTTGCAGTCTTTATTCTCCCTAGGCTGTTCTCAAGTATTATTGTGTTTTTGCTGTTTTTATTGATTGGTCACTTGATTGGTTCTTTCTGAAATTCGTGTTTTTCTCTTACTTTCATGGCTTATCATGGGTTGATTAGAAACAGGAATCCACAAGATTAGGTTTACACATTTCAATAATTATTTTAGTGGGGTTTTAGAACATTCAATCTGTCCTCTTTAATCAGATGTTAGCAGTACATTTTACGTATAGTGGGGAGACAACTCTTTTTCAGGGGTATTTGTAATGGCTAGTTTTATGTGTCAACTTGACTGAGCCACAGAGTGCCCAGACATTTGGTCAAACATTATTCTGGGTGTGTCTATGAAGATGTTAATATCAACATTTTAATTTGTAGAGTGAGTAAAGGAAATTGCCCTTTATAATGTAGATGGACCTCATCCTATCAGTTGAAGATCAGAACAGAACAAAAAGGCTAAGCAAGAAGGGACTCCCTGTGACTGCCTGACTGCCTGACTGAGCTGGCTCATTGGTCTTTTGCAGCCTGCAGACTTGGACTGAAACATTGGCACTTTTTTAGTCTCAAGTTGGCCAGCTCTCAGATTAGAACTCACACCAATAGCTCTCCTGATTCTCAGGCCTTTGGACCCATATTAAAACTACCTGTCAGTTCTCCTTGGTTTTGGACTAGAACTCCACAGCAGCACTCCTCTGAAGTACAGATTGGGACTCCTCAGCCTCCTTATTCATGTGAGCGATTACATATATATATATAAACACATCCTCTGGGTTCTGTTTCTTTGGAGAACCCTCCTATAGCATAATAAGAAAACATTAACTTTCCCTTTGAAATGTGTGCTAATGCATACCTTAATGGCAGAAATAGAAAACCAACATGCAATAAACATTTTCAAATTGAAGGAAACAAAAAGGTTTAAAAATATTATACTTACTGAGATAAGTGTGAGTTTCATATTCAACTGAATGTTACATGCTTAATATTTTTATCATAAATATTATTTATTTATCACTAAAGTTGATTTCTCACTCAAGCAGCTGAGTACACGATGGGCATTTATAATATAAGCTGTAAGAAAAGATGACTGCAGCGTTCATTTAAGGTAGTCCCAGGGATTGTCAATCTTTGTGTAAATTCATAGGAGGAAAGTTGTTTATCACTTATTCCAATGATTTCTTATATTAAATTATATAATTATTACAGACCTATAACCCCAGTTTTGCCTGATAATATACTTAAACTACATTAAAGTTGATACATTTACCAACACAAGTTTTTGCTTATGTAAAAGGAAGAAAAAGGGAATAATTTCATTGAAATAATCTTTTCGACAAATGTATAACTGTTTCAAGGATCACCTTTCTAAACAACAAGAAAATGTAATTAAGACATGTTCATAAATAATTTATAATCATAAAGTTTCCTATATATCCTTAATTTTTTCTAAAACGGTTAAAATATGTATGCATAGTTATTTGTGATTATTACGTTCCTTTGCCTTTTTCCCCTTAAATTAGAGCAATGGATGTAAGGAATAAAGACTTCCATGCCCAACATAAAAATGCAATTATAATGAGGTCAAATGGAAAGTTAGTTGGAGATGACCCAGTTTCTTGACTAAATAAATTGATTCTTTATACAATAGCACAATTTTCCTTAGAGAGTTCATCAACCAAGAAAGATAGCTCTCTTTGCAGGGATTTTCTGTTTAACATTTGTAAGGTCATATTTCCTGTCAACCAGCAAGAGATTCCAATAGTAATTGTTTTGTCACTCTAAAACATAAAATTTCTAAAACTTTTTGGCAATGTACTGCCAGAGGGTTGTCATAGCAAATGAAAGCCATTTCTGTTCAAGTCCAAGTATATCTCATCATTCAATGACAAACATGTTTTGCATTCAGTTGGGAATACTGTTTTTAAAAAGTTTGTTACTTCTTATGTTTTTTGTTTTCATTAAAGTATCTGGAACATTTTTTTCCACTGTTAATTTTATCTTTAGTAATAATTCCTGACAGCTTATATTCAGACAAATTAAGGTTAAACATTATTATATTTAAGAACAATGCAAATAACATTTAAATAATTTCTTTAACTAAAATATTAATAAAATTAATTTAAATGAGTACAATTATAAAAATTGAATTCTTCATAAAAGAGTGCACATTTTATTCATGTTATTAAATTCAATCTAATTTAAGTCCAGCATTGAGACTCAAAACTCTCTGAGTTTATCTGACAGTAGATTCCTTTATTTTTCTTAATACTAGACTACAAATCTGAGGGACAAAGGAGCCCATCAGGAAGAGTTCTTTCTTGGATAAATTTTAGCTTAAATAAAATTTGGCCTGGCATTGTGTCATCATTATATGAGGGCAGACATTTCTCTTGACTCAGTTTACATTTTTATAACACTAGGAAGTCAGAAAAGAAATTAAATAATAATGTATGTGTGTTTATTACATGACAGAGTGTCATGGCACAAACTGAAGAAGATGTATCTTCCTCACTTCACAAAAATATATCAGATGCATCTCTAGCAGAATATGATACCTATGAGAAATAATAATAATTTGTAGTAACAAAGGAAGTAATAGTGGTGAAAAATTAGCGCATATAAATCTGTCCCTAGAGTTTACCAGAAATTTTTATGAAAGTGTAAGTCACCCAACATGAAAAGGAAGTTGCGAAAGAGAATATTTAGAGGCAATAGATGCAAAGGAGTGTAAATAGGGTAAGAACTAGTTAAATACACATCTCAATAACATTATTTTATTTTAAACTCTGCTCTGGGATGGTTACTTAGAGCATATATCTATATCATCTGGTGATCTTGAATTCAGCAATGTTGTCTGACCTATATCTATTAAAGATAAAGAAATTAAAGTAAACAAAATGTTACTTGTTTAAGTGTTCATAATTATTAATTTTTCAGTCTAGAGTTAGAATGGACTATTTCTGGTCTGATTCTAAAACCAACACTTTCTCTTTGAAGAACCTTAATATTTCCTCAGTGAGTCTTCTGGTGCTACTGGTGATAAAGGAGTTTTAAAGAAGTGATTAACTTTGTTGGGCTTCAGGAAACTGTGTAGATTAAATTATTTTCTTAAAAATATTAAATCTCATACATTCCTACACCAAGATGGGGAGGGCACTTTTCCACTACATTGATGGTAAACTTTTCCATATGATCAGCCACTGTACTATAGTTGGCACATTGATGCTTTACAGTCATAAAGTGATTTATACACCATAAATTGTTGCTTTTAAAGTATGGTGTGCCTTAGTAGTGACAAAACAGCCATAGAAAACGTGTAGATGCATGGGAATGCCTCCAAGAAAACTTGTTTTAGAACTGGGGCAAAGGTCTGAATGGGACCAGCGTGCCATGGTTTGCTATCACCTTCTTAGGTTGTAAGTCCTTGGGTGTGATTCTGTTCATATGAAAATGAAAGGGAAACCAATAACACTTAAACCCCCCAAACCTTGTTCCTGTGAGACTTGCTCCTTTTTTAGAACTGTAACGGCAAATTGTGCTTATTAAGGAAAAAAATAAGAAACATAATACAGGAGAAAGCAAAATCATATAATATAGCATAGCTGAATATAATATTTGAGTCATTTCATCTTTTAATATATGAAGTCAAAACAGTCTTTTTTTCATTTGATGTATGTGAAAAGGAGAGAACAAAATGAAGGTTCATTTTGAAAGAAAGTGGTAGTTATACAAACATCGAATCATTTCCACAGACTGTACCTTTGAGCATATACAATTATTTTGTCGGTATGTTTGCTGGACTAAGTAGTTGATAAAAGTGAAAAGATTATAACAAATCTTTTGCTAATCTTGGATTTAAAACATACGGTAACTCCAAAAAATAATAACAGGACACTAACACTGCTTTTACTTATAGAAGAGATCACATTTAGTTTCCTTATTGGAGAGAAATTTATGACTTCTGGTATATTTGGCTAGCAGAGGGGAATTGAACAGCATGGGCCTGGTAGACAGAATTAAATACATCAGTATACTTATTATGCCAAGCAAATGGAACAATTTACAGATTGGGAGCAGTGCAAAGCATTTTCATTCTGGGCAAGAGCAACATCTATCATTTCACACAGAAATAGAACACTCTGTTCAGTGTGTTCCAGCCTTGGCTCTCAATTCCCAAAATAAATCTTAACCCAGAAAAAGTCAGTGATAGGATACAGCAGAGAGCATTATAGAGACTTGACAATGCAGTGATTAGCTAATTAATCTGGGTACTCAGAGACTAGTTCATATGAAAGTACAAAAACCAAGCTGACTTTGCAGCATTTTCTATATTTGTAATGTTTCTCATTCTGAATATAATAAACAACTTGAAATTTGCATAAAGAAAAATAATACATTTATATATTCCCTAAATATGGCATTTTAATTGTCTTAATACTGTGGATCACAGTGTTAGAAATAGTCAGATGCTTCAATCTGTGAAAAAAAAAAAAAAAAGTTCACTTGACCAAATAACTTGTGTAAAACCAAGTGACTGATTCCCCTAGGCTTTGATAAAACTTTGTAAACACAATTAAAAAAGACACTCTAGGATTGTTTTATAATTAATTGTTAACATGTCTATGTTCCCTGGTAGCTATTGAACTTAAAGACATAAATTATATTACTTGGTATTTTTATATCTAATATCCTAGTTGGCATACATCTAGTATTAAATAAGTAATTTGAAATTATTTCAGTTGAATATGATTGGCTGTTGTTGTTGGGCCAGTGGAATGATAAACACCGGAAACACTATTTTCCTTCTTCTTATTTCAGCTTAGTTTTGAAATTTTATCAGTCTTGGGATTTTCAGTTTAAAATGATAGGGGAGAAATGCTGTCAAATGTAGCTTGGCCTGTGAAATTAACAAACAGAAAAAGATAAAAACTCAAGCATCCTAGATATTTGTATGGATAGATTAAGAAATTGCAAAAACAAGAAAAAATTCCCACTAGCCATGTTATAAACAAAACTAAATCAAAATATTCCTATCTAGGCTTTCACTCAAGGCACAATAGTGTTTCATTTTACAAGATTAAATGCATCGAAAAAAGGTGCCAGTTCTAGGCTCAGAGATCCAGTGTTGTAGATTGGGGCAAATGGTTCACTGATAAATAGATGCATAAACCATAAAATGCACAGAGCACCTGACATATTAATGTCATATATTGGAAATACATTTTACTGAGTTAATGTAAACTCTAAAAAACAAAGTATTCCAGTGTTTCTTGCTAATTCCATAAGCATCACCACTGACTTGTGTTAAGTTTAAGCATGTATGAGATATAGAAGAAAAGTGACTTTTCACCCACTGGATGGGTCATCAGATAATCAGATTTGGTGGAGTCATCTGTTGTGATCATTATCTCCGTGTGAACAACAAAAAGCTAGTAAAACTGCTCTAATAATTTTTTTTAAATGATTTCTGGATTGCTATTCTATGTTATCTTATTAAAATATTTGAATCTTTACCCTAAAGTTTTGATTATTGATTATATTGCTATTAATGTGATTTTAAAAAATGTCTATTTTCATATAATTTTACACTTAAAGAAAAATTTAAAAATAATACAAAGAAATGTTATATTCTATTACTAAGATTTATCAGTTGTTGATATACTACTTTTGCTATAACACACATACATACACACATACACATACAAACATATATATACATATTATTTTTTAATATTCCATGTCATATCTTCAGCTTGCATAGGTTCTTTCAAGATGTCTAAAATTAGCAAGTGACATTCACAGAATAGAATAAATATTAAGTATTTATTATTACTAATAATAAATAAATGATTGTGTAAATGTACAAATGAATAAAAAGTAGAATTCTGACTGATAATGTGGAAAGCATAAAAGATTTATCAAATCACAATTTTTCAATGATAATGATAATAATTTTGTTAATACTAATTTCGTACTAACAAAATTATTAATGGATGCTAAAACTAACTTTGAGGAGGTATTGTAACTTTATGTAGTATCAAAGTATTTTGTCACAAAATACCCATTTAAAATAAAGAAAATATAATACTATTACTGTAGATTAACCTAGAGAATTCAAACTTAAATATAAGTAACTCTTTTAACATCACTAAAGATAAAACAAAGTCACATTTTGATATTATGCAATGAGAATAATATTGAATCACATTTGTAAAAATAATTGATTCATAATATATTAGGCAAAACAAAATGGAGGAGAGTGTTAAAAGAGAATGGACTGTTATTTTAAAAAATCAAAATTTTGAAAGACAAACATTAAGTAACTGTTTTAGATGAAAGGTGTATGACGACTAAATGTAATACCAGATCCTAGATTGGATATTATACCAGGACAGAAAATAGCTTTATAAGATAGTTATATATATATAAGATAATTATATATAATATAATAAATATATATAATATAAATATATATATAATTCCATCATCATGAAATATTATAATAGTATAGTTATTCATTTTGATACATATATGTATACTTTGGTTACATGAGAGTGTTCTTAATCTAACAAACTACATACTAAATTATTTATAAATAGTATGATATGATGTCTGTAAATTACAAGATTCAGTATAAACACATATATTTCCATACATGAATGTATATATGAGATATATTGATCTAATTAATAAATCAAAATTCTATTAAAAATAATTAAGAGAGACTAAGCACCATTTGGAGGTTTTGACATTCCTCTCTCAGTAACTAATAGAAAAGTAAATGAAAATGGAGTTTCACTCTTGTCACCCAGGCTGGAGTGCAATGGCGTGATCTTGGTTCACTGCAACCTCTGCCTCCTGGGTTAAATCCATTCTCCTGTCTCAGCTTTCTGAGCAACTGGGATTACAGGCGTGCACTACCATGCCTGGCTAATTTTTATACTTTTAGTAGAGACAAGGTTTCACCATGTTGGGTAGGCTGGTTTTGAACTCGGGACCTCAGGTGATCTGTGTCCCTCGGCCTCCCAAACTGCTGGGATTACAGGCATGAGCCACTTCTCCCAGCCAATATATTTTACCAAACTGATATTAGTAAAATTTCCTACCACTTACCACACCACTAGAGTACACATATTTTTCAAGTACACATAAGCCATACCAAAATATATCAGATTCTTTCCAATAAAATGGATCTCAACAAATCAAATAAGTATTAGAATTATAGAAATACTCTTACCAAAACTAAGTTACAGTAGGAATCAATATTAGGAAGATAGCTGAAAAATCCCCAATTATCTGATATAGCTTTAATTAATCTATCAGTGAAATAGAAAGTTAAAAGGAACTTAGAAAATATTTTTTACTTAGTGAAACATTAATTTTATCACAAGGTCTTTGAATGTCAGAATATCAGTAGTGGATTGCCCTGATGATTTTAACTGAGTCTCTCATCAAACCGTTGAGTGGTTGGCTGGGGCTGCAGTTGTCTGAAGGTATAACTGAACTGGAGGATCTGCTTCCAAGTGTGTCAGTTGGCTTTTACCTGGAAGTCTCAATTTCTTACCACATAGAATTCTCCACAGGGCTGGTCACACTATGCAGTTTAATTTTCCCCAGAGCAAACGATCCAAGAAAAAGCAAGAGAGCAACCAGCACAGAAGCTGTAGTGTTTGCCTTTCATGACCTCATGACAGAAGTGAGGTACCATCACTTCTGCTGTATTTTATTTATTATAAGCCAATTATGACACCATGTGGGAGGAGAACTACATAAGTGTGTGAATTTCAAGAGCAGAATCTTCAGAGACCATCGTAGAGTCAGGCCAACAAAAACATTTTCAACCAACTTGATCTAATTGATTTATAGAACATTCTTCCCTCAAGGAACAAACTACGTATACTTTTCAAGTACACATGAAATATTTCAAATGCTCATATTCTTAATTTTAAAACTTCACTATATTCAGGAGGGTTGACTTCAAGCAGAGTATATTATTTGACTATCAGGTAATGAGAGTAGAAATAAATAGCAGAGATACCTGGATAATCATAAAATATTTAGAAATTAAACAACATATTTTAAAATAACTTAGGGGTCAAATAAGCAAATACAAGGCAAGTTAGAATCCATTTTGAATCAAATGCACAAATTAAAATAATAACTAGAGGAAAATTTATTGCACTCATTGTTGATATTAAAAAAATTAAAGTATCAAATTCATGATTTAAGATTTCTCTTTAAAAACTAGCAAAATACTAGCAAATTAAAACCAAATATGCAGCACAGGAAAGAGAGAGATCTTCAGAAAGGGCCAATAAAAAATATGAATCTCAAGTAGAAACTTAAATCAAAATTTTGTTTTCAACTACAGGAAGCAAAACTAATAAATTTAACTATTTTATGACCTTGTCTAAAAAAGTTTTTAAGGGCAGTATAAAGATGTGGACGGAGAAAGGGTCACAGTGTGATTCTCCTCTTCACCACAGACTATCTGTTAAAATTGGACATGTTTTTTATCCCTGAGTTTCAGGTCCCTAATATGTGAAAAACAGGAGAAAAAAAAAGGATGCATAATTTCTTCACTTGCTAGAATACATTATTTAGGGAATATATCAAAGGACATGTAGAAGGCTCATTAAAATGATAGCAACTATTACCTTAAAAATTTTTACTGATATTATTCATAACCAAAAAGAGAACACAGATATCATCAAGATCACACAGGTTCATGTTACAGCGCAGTGTCTGACTAAAAATACCTTAAAAACACTTCAGTGCTAGAGGAAAAAATGTTCATTTGGGCAGAAAAATATAAGAAATGTGAGATAAGCTAAGCTGTTCAAATAATAGTGAATATCAGACGTGGATACCTAAACAATAAGGAAAAGAGAGAGTGGAGTGCAGAAATTTTGTGAATCTGGGAAAAGGAGTAGTAGATGGGCATATGCACTCAAATCTAATTAACGGCTACAACAATGAGGGGGAAATGATGATATCAATGCATAGATGGATTTCAGAATTGTGTTTGTGTAGAATGAATTTGTTGGGATCAAGAAATGTTAAAGAGAATATTCCCGGTATAAAGAGCTCCTTCAGAAAGAGATCTTATTAAGAAATATAGTAAGATATATAAAAAACATAAGCAAGTAAGTAAGCTTTGAGGTGGGTACGTCGAGTATTGGGCCAAATCATGTATGAGAAGAAAACTGTTGATACATTTCAATGCTGAGTTGAAGCTATTTGGTACAAAGAAACAGTTGAAAACAAAATTAAGCACATTGTGTGTCATCTCAACCACACAGTTTTATGCATTGGTTTTCACAAAATAGTAAAACAATTTTAATTAAAAGTGATTTATCCTTTTGTTGGTATCAACTATAAGAAGACATATTTTTGTCTTGATCAATGTAGATAGGTTAAAAATACAAATATGACAGTTATACTTTTTCAAAATATGAAAAACAGCCTTTTGTTGTTGTTGTTTCTATTGGTCCACATAAAGGAGAAAATAATAGCTACTGGCATGTGGTGTCTGTACCATGGTTCCAAATAGCCATTGAACAGCCACTATCATTTAATTTATTCTCATTGCTTCTGGCCCAGTTCTGTCATCGACTTGAAAGACTTTTCATATAAATGACACCAATGCTCTTTCACACTGAGTGCTGGCAGCTTACATAAGAATATCGTATGAAAAGATTTTTATCAAGTTTTCATTTGGTTTATATGAGAATTGCAAGTGAGTTCACTATGCTATCTTTAACATCTGAGAGGAATGAATCAAATTAATCTCAGTTGGAATAAAAATTAATAGAAGAAATAAAAATAGGAATCATTCCTGTATTTTCTCACTGTATAACTTTATATTTTAATTTAAAATTATAAAATAGATACTTTTTTAAAATTAACAATATTTACCTACCTTGTGTTTTGAGTGAATAAAACATGAGCACACATACGAATACAGTCAAACACACACCCAATTAAGTATCAAGTAGGGGGTAGGGCCAAGATGGCCGACTAGTAGCAGCCATAATTGGGGGCTCCAATGCAAAACATGCAAAACAGCATGTGATCCTGCATCGGCAACCGAAGTATCCAGGTACTGTCATTAGGACTGATTAGGCGGTTGGCGTGACCCACGGAAAGGAAGAAAGAGCAGTGTGGTGCAGCGGCACACCTCAGAGCCACATGGGGCAGGGGATTCCCTACCCCCAGCCAAGGGAGGTGGTGAAATGAGCATGCTACCTAACCTGGGAAAACGTGCTTTTTCCATGGAACTGTTCAACCCACGGATTCGAAGATCCCACTCGGGGGGAGCCCATGTCATGGGGGTCTTGGGTCCCAACCGCAGAGCCGCACAGACTCTCACTTGGGTAGAATTGTCTTAAGCCCTACAAGTTCCCCAGGTTGGGAGTGGGGGCAAGGGGAGTGGCCATCACCACTGCTGCAGCTACCTGCTGTCTAAGTCATCTGAGATCCTTGTGGGAGGGGCAGCAGCCAACACTGGGGCTGCAGGGTCTCCCAGGGAAACTCCAACTCCAGCCAGGGGCTGAGGGACAGAACTCTGATCTCCCTAGGCCTGAGCCCCTAGGGGAAGGGGTGGCCATAGACTCTGCAGACCAGCAGACTTAGTCTTTCCTCCTGCTAGCTCTGAGACATCCGCCCAGCCAAGATGAGTGGGCAGCACTGCACACCTCCTCTAACAAGGGACAGCCAAAGTGCATCATAAAACGAGTCATGCTCCCTGTGCCACCCAACTGTGTGAGAACCCCCATCAGGGATTGTCAGACACCCTACACAGGAGTGTCCCTATGGCATCAGGTCAGTGCCCCTTGAGGTCAGAGATCCCAGAGGAAAGAGTAGGCACCCATCTTTGATGTCCTCCAGTGTCTTTGAATGACATCTCCAGGAGCAGGAGCAAACCAGATGAATAGGGCCTGAAGTGAGCCCCCAGAAAACTGCAGCAGCCCTACAGAAGAGGGACTTGACTACTGAAAGAAAAGCAAACAAAAAGAAAGCAACAACAACAGCATCAACAAAAAAAGTCCCCACAAAACCTCATCCAAGGGACGGCAGCCTCAAAGATCAAAACTACGCAAACTCATGAAGGTGAGAAAGAATCAACGAAAAAATGATGAAAACCCAAAATGAGAGAGTGCCTCTTCTCCTCCAAATGATCGCAAAACCTCTCCAGCAAGGGCACAGAACTGGACAGAGGATGAGATGGATGAATTGACAGAAGTAGGCTTTAGAAGGTAGGAAATAACGAACTTTGCTGAGGTAAAGGAGCATGTTCGAACCCAATGCAAAGAAGTTAGGAACCTTGATAAAATGTTAGAAAAGCTGCTAACTAGAATAGCCCATTTAGAGAGCAACATAAATGACCCGATGGAGCTGAAAAACATAGCATGAGAACTTTTTGAAGCATTCACAAGTATCAATAGCCAAATCGATTAAGCAGAAGAAAGAATGTAAGAATGTGAAGACTATCTTGCTGAAATAAGGCATGCAAACAAGATTACAGAAAAAAGAATGAAAGGAATGAACAAAACCTCTGAGAAATATGGGATTATGTAAAAAGACTGAACCTACAACAGGTAAGTGTACCTGAAAGAGAGAGGGAGAATGGAACCAAGCTGGAAAACACACTTCAGGATATTATCCAACAGAACTTCCCCGACCTAGTGAGACAGGCCAACATTCAAATTCAGGAAATACAAAGAACTCCACTAAGATACTCCATGAGAAGATCAACCCCAAGGCACATAATTGTCAGATTCACCAAGGTCAAAATGAAAAAAAAAATGTTAATGGCAGCCAGAGAGAAAGGCTGGGTCACCTACAAAGGGAAGCCTATCAGACTAATGCAGATGTCTCAGCAGAAACCCTACAGGCCAGAAGAGAGTGGGGACCGATATTCAACATTCTTATAGAAATGGATTTTCAACCCAGAATTTCATATCCGGCCAAACTAAGCTTCATAAGTGAGGGAGAAATAAAATCCTTTTCAGACAAGCAAATGCTGAGGGAATTCATCACCACCAGGCCTGCCTTGCAAGTGCTCCTGAAGGAAGAACTAAATATGGAAAGGAAAAACCAATACCAGCCACTGCAAAAACACACAGAAATATAAAGACCAATGACACTATGAAGAAACTGCATCAACTAGTGTGCAAAATAACCAGCTAGCATCATGATGACAGGATCAATTTCACACGTAACAATATTAACCTTAAATGTAAGTAGGCTAAATGCCCCAATTAAAAGACACAGACTGGCAAATTGGATAGTCAAAACCCATTGGTGTTCTCTATTCAAGAGACCCATCTCATGCAGAGAGGCATACATAGGCTCAAAATAAAGAGACTGAGGAAAATTTATCAAGCAAATGGAAAACAGAAAAAAACAGGGGTTGCAATTCCAGTCTCTGACAAAACAGACTTTAAAACAACAAAGATCAAAAAAGACAAAGAAGAGCATTACATAATGGTAAAAGGAACAATTCAACAAGAAGAGCTAACTATCCTAAATATATATGCACTCAATACAAGAGCACCCAGATTCATAAAACAAGTTCTTAGAGACCTAAAAAGACACTTAGACTCCCACATAATAATAGTGGGAGACTTTAACACCAAATTGTCAATATTAAACAGAACAACGAGACAGAAAATTAACAGGGATATTCAGGACTTGAACTCAGCTCTGGATCAAGCAGACCTAATAGACATCTACAGTACTCTCCACCCCAAACAACAGAATATACATTCTTCTCAGTGCCACATGGCACTTACTCTAAAATTGACCACGTAATTGGAAGTAAAACCCTCCTCAGCAAATGCAAAATAACTGAAAACACAACAGTCTCACAAGCCAAAGTGCAACCAAATTAGAACTCAGGATTAAGAAACTCATTCAAAACCACACATCTACATGGAAGTTGAACAACCTGCTCCTGAATGATTCCTGGGTAAATAATGAAATTAAGACAAAAATCAAGAAGTTCTTTGAAATCAATGAGAACAAAGAGACAATGTACCAGAATCTCTGAGACACAGCTAAAGCAGTGTTTAGAGGGAAATTTACAGCACTAAATGCCTACATCACAAAGCTAGAAATATCTCAAATCAACACTCTAATATCACAATTAAAAGAACAAGAGAAGCAAGATGAGCCGCTCACTGTGATTTAAGCATTGGGGTATTGCTTACAATTCAAACATGGTTTAAGCATCTTTTTTCTTCTTCTGTGAAACTGGAAAAATAGAATGTAACTCAAAGGGAATTTAGAAATCTTGGGAAAGAAGTCCAACCAAGCCTTAGTTAAATCCCAAATATTAATTCTATCATAGGGTACTATTCTCTAGAATCTGAAGACGAAGCAGATTACTTTAACATGCTTATGAGCCACCTCCACCATTACACAGACCATGATTTGGTAATCGATAGCTTGTTTGTTTTTTTATCTGCCACTCCCAGAAAAAAAAAAAAAAAGCCTTGAAAATTGTACCTGGAGGACTAGTTTTTCATTATTATCTCAATAAATTCCACCATACAATTCATATGGGTTACCTCAACTTCTGTAAAAGTGTCAACTACCTTGGCTGTTTACAATCATTTCCACTCTGTAAAATGCACTCACTAATTGGTTATTTCTACTCTAGGCTCAACCATGTGTATTAATTGTCTGTACTTTTGCTTGTTACCCTCTTACTATGTTTTCTCCTCATTTTATAGTTTCTGTGAAATTAACATTGTAAATTTTATCATCAGAAAACTCAAACTGTCTCTAACAATACACCTAAAAATATGTTTATTTTTATTTCTTTTAAGTCACCTTATCAGCTCACTGACAGAGAGCACTCTTACAGGCTGCCCTACCAAATTTCATCATTGGATCTCAAAGGCCATGACTTATCTTTTTATTCCAACACATTTTTTTCACTACCATTAACATGGTTCTGTTTTGTTTTGTTTTTCTCCATAGTTAGACTAAATTTCATGATCTATAAAAATAGTTATATGGTACCAATTATCTGAACTTCTTTGTCCCTTTTTCCTCACTCACCAATAAAACTAAACCTCTATATAAACCCTACAATCTATTTATTTCAGGAGATAATTGAAATAAAATCACAGAAAGAAATCAAATATCATTTAAATTCTTAATTACACACCTCATTCTTAGACGTGTCTTTTTTTGAAATATGAGTTTTCCATAAAATTTGGTAGGAGACAATTCTCCATGAATATTTTCATGTATGTTCATGATCTGGGATTTCTGTCAAAGAGCACTGGGCAAGAACACAAAAAATTCAGTTAGGATGAACAAGTTCAAGAAATCTATTGACCTCATGCTGACTACAGTTAATAACAATATATTATAGATATATTTCTAAAAGGGTGTATTTCAAGTGTTCTCACCAGAAAAAATTATGTGAGGTAATGCATATATTGGATGTGTTAAATAGTTTAATTTAGCCATTTCACAAGGTATGCGTATATCAAAACATCATGTACACCATAAACATAGAGAGTTTATACTTGTCAATTCAAAATAAAGAAAAAATAATTGATTGTATGTGCCCTGTAAGCTAGAGATTGTGTATTACTTCGTAATGATTTATAGATTTATGTCCCAGGAAATGGTTATTATAATCCATTGCAGTGAAACTATATAGACCCTCTTACCTTCTCAGAGGAGATGGTTAGTTTACATTCCAAAGAAAAGGCACTAATGTTAGAAACTTCTACTTCCTTTGTCTACTGTGAGCTAATGGTACCCCATTGCCTACAGGTGAAAAACAAAACAAAGCATGACAAAAACACTCCACCTAACATGGGGAGATAAATTAAAACCAAATTTCTAACTTTTGGTTCTGTTTCCTGGTACCAAATACAGCTACTAAATACAGTGTCGTTGGTGTTCTAGCTAGAAACACACTTTGTTTGACATATTTTAATCAGTAAGGGAATTAGAAAATCTTATTTGTTATTGGACGGGCTAATGAGTGAAAGGTAGACAACCGTATGTTCAGAATGTGTCAAAATTGCTGGAAACCATTATTCAGTGTCTAAACTACTAGCTGCAATGAAAAGATGATGCCCTGAAACTCAAGCAGAAACTGCCACAATATTTACCTTGCTTAGTGCCTATGTGTCTTCTCACAAGTGCAGTGGAAAAATCATGTCTTCTCTTCTGTCTTCCAAATTGTGCCCAACGTTTCTCAATCTAACCTGAAACTTTTACCAAGGGACAATGGAAAATGTAGTTCCCAGGCATCTCTTCTTTGGTGCAAGAGAGTGTACAAGAGTAGTGGAGACAAGCAATAAGACACATTAATTTTCCGATGAACAACTTTTTCCAACATTGCTTACCTGTGAGGTTTCTTATATTTCAGCCTCCTCTCCTTCCCTCTCTCCCCTCCCCTCTCCTCTGCTTTCCTACTCTCCCGTCCCCTCTTCACTTCTCTCCTCTCCTCCTCCCCTTGCTCTCTCTCTTTTCTGCCTCTCCTCTCTCTTTATCTTTTCCTCCTCTCCCTTGCTCTTCCCTCCCCTCTCCTCTCGTCCTCCTCCCCTCCCTCCTCATGCTCTCCCCTGCCCTTCCATTCTTACCCCTCCTCCTGTTTTCTCTCCTCCTCCCCAGTCCTCTCCCCTTCTCTCACCTCTCCTTTCGCTCTTTGCCAAAGAGATTACAGAAGAGTCAATACATAAAATACACAATGTTGTACATAAATTATGGTTGTTTAAATCTCAGGCTATGCCATGTCCCTGAAGAACTGAGTACTGTTTGCCTTTTTCCATGAAATAAAACAATTGGACATTATCTCTCTACTTCTTTAACATGGTGTGTAGCGGCCAGTGCCTCTAACAGCCCTTCTTTATATCTTGTGATTGGCAGATTAAGATGATATCTGTTATTTTCATCAAAAATGCAGCCTATATCTTTGTATTTTATTCTCAAAATTTTTATGGAAGGGATGTTATTTCTAAGGAAAAAAATGGGGAAATGAAAAATTTTAGTGAGCCTTGTAGAAATCTGCCCTTTCTCCTTTGTTCAATGATAATATTGAAGTTCTTCTGAGTACTACTTTAGACCAAATACAGAAAATCCCTTGGGATTTTGCTTGTGCCCTTATCTTCCTTTTCCTGAATATTCTATTTATGCCTTCTTAATACTTCTATTTTATCTGAAATATTATTGTTTTATTGTTATTGTTTTCATGAACTTTCTATTTGTAACTTTTTGTGCCCTTGGTTCTCACTGCAAACATTAAATTTCATTTGGCCCTTATTAAATCCCTCCAAGTGGGGTAGGAGACGTAGATTTTAGCTTCCACTAAAGATAATTTTTTTCCTTCTGTATTACTTTGTGAAACTTCAGTCTTTTTTTTTTAAATCTCATCTCATTCAAAATATATAAATTAGCAATTCATAAAATTATTTAAATTGGAAAGTTAACAATCTTCCAGAATAGTCATTTAAAATTTTTCTTAATTTAAATTAGTTTTCATCATTTCCAAACTGTTGGAGGAGTTGTTAAGTGTTGTTCAAATATTGTTCAACTTGATTATATTAAATCACTGTTACATATTTAAATTCCATCTCTTTTATTTCTCTTGCCTCATTATCTCTAATTCTTGTGTTTCTATTGCTGTAATTCTGAGATATTATCAGTATATCCAGTCAATATAACTCCTTCCTCTTCAGTCAATATCACTTCACTAAATATTTTTACATAGCTATTGTCTTACAATATCTTTTTTGCAAAGTTTTATGCAAAGTCATCACGTAGGATGACCACTAGGATTTGAACAATGTGATGGAGCGTGGGAATTCCTTCCTCAGAGCATGTTAATCACAACCATATCCCTTTAAAGACCTTTGGATATTCTTTCACCTGCTCAATTACTATTTTTCCTCCATTATCCTATGTTAAGGGGAGAGGGGTTAATTAAATGTATAGTTTTTCTAAAGATAAATTTACTTTCTGCTTTCAAACATTCCCATAGGCATTGCATCAGTCAGGGGCTTCACATCAGCTTCTACGTTCTCATCACAGAGATCACTGTCTATATAAATCTGTTTTTAATTTCATTTAATGAGTAAATTTAGGAACTCTATTACAACAGAAAGCTGTGGTAGGAAAATTAAAAGAAGGCTTGATAAACCATGTAACAGTAAAAATTACTGCATCATTCTTTATTCCTTCTAAAAAGAAAACATTTTTCTAGATACCCAACATTTCCTATGACCAAGGAGGGTGACTAGAAGTCATTGCTCAGTAAACTCTAGATCCCATCCAATTTTTGTATGTAACTGTGTATCACATGGAACAGTAGGACTCCTTAATGTACTGGCTTCCAGATATCGTTATATAATACTGTTCTTCTATATTCCCCAAATTGGTGCCACCTATTTTTCTTTCCAACTGCAAACAGTTGCACTAAGAGAAAAATATAAATTTTCTTTCAGTCTGTAGTACTGTTATACCTGGAAGGTTAAAGACCAATGATACAGTCCACAATCTCCAGTGTCCATTCCTTAATCAGCTAGATCCACCATAAATTTCCTACAAAATTTCTCATTTTGCCTAAGTCTCAAACATTTCTCACCCCTACCCCATGATCAATGACTTCTAAAAACATCAAATTACATATATCTTACAAATTAGGAAGTTCTTTGTAGGTGATGAAACTGTTATGTTACAGCTTGCTGATGAATATGATATTCCTTTAGAGTCATTATTTGATGTGTGCATTTCAATAGTGTTTGTATTCTTCTCAAGCTGATTTTGCACCTAGGGAGACTCCTGGAACACAGGTATTTCTCTCTATATATATGACCAGAGTTGTTGTTGTTTGGTTTTTGTTTTTTTTTTTTTTTTTACCATGATGATGACCTTCCAGGGTTGTTATTTCAGCCTTACCTAGTAGAGCAAGGCTAACTCTTAACATCCCCACAGTACATTTGAAACGCATGGATCAGGACTGATGTTACCATCGTATATATTGTTGGTATTAAATATTGATGGCATTTGTACAATTTAGGAATAAGGTCTTAACCAAAAGCTATTGTGCATGCCATGAGTCTTAATTGTATATAATCTACTCTCAAACATTTACCTGCTTAAAGATGCCATTCCACTGCTTTTCCATAGATATCCTTTGTGTTAACTTTGGAGAGTAATTATGTATGTCATGATTTGTTTCCCTCGAAGCTATCAAAGTACTGCTTTCACTTTCTTTGAATATATTCTAACCAAAGTCCCATTAGAAGTGTTCAAAGGAGGACACCAAACTGTGACCTCTAGTGATAGCTACAATCTACTTTCTTCACTCTTAGGCTGTCTTAACAACGTACTATCTTCACTGTTGGCCAGATGGAATTCAGGAACTCTTCTATTTAGTATCTAAAACAACATTCAATTCCTTGATAGTACTTCTTTCTAGAGGTCTGAAAAACATAATTAACTTTGCTACATATAACCTACACACTGCACGTTAATAACTATAGTCAACAGCTCATAAATGGCGACAGAAGATGCTGTGTCATTACTTTTATCCAGTTCATTCAGATAGAATCAGGAGTTTATGTATATCTGCAGGAATTCAATATTTTTCTACAGAAAGTAAGCTGGTGCATTTCTCACGATTTATATCCTTAGTAAGTGTTGATCTAAAAGAGATAGTTAGCAGTGCTGTAGACTTTCATTATCCACAGTTTCATTTTCCGAGGTTTCAGTTACTCATGGTCCAAAAATATTAAATGGAAAATTTCAGAAAGAAACAATTCCTAAGTTTTAAATTTTTCAGCATTCAGAGTAGCATCATGATATCTTGTATTGTCCTACTCCATCCATTCAGGACTTGAATCATTTCTTTGTCCAGAGTCTCCACATTCTCTGCATTCTGCCCATAAGTCATTTAGCAGCCATCTCAGCTATCAGCTTCACTGTCATGGCACTGCAGTGCTTGGGTTCATAAGGGCCCCAAACACAAGAGTAGTTATGCTAGCAATTTGGATATGCCAGAGAAGCCATGAAGTTATTGCTTTAAGTGAAAAGATAGAAGTTCTAAACTTAACAGAGAAAGAAAAAAAAAGTATGCTGAGGTGGCTAAGATCTACAGTAAGCATGAATCTTCTATCCCTAAAATTGTGAAGAAGAAAAAAACGTGTGCTAGCTTTGCTGTCACAACTAAAGATGCAACCATTACAGGCAAACTACATAATAAGTTATTAGTTAAGATTTACAAGCATTAAATTTGTGGGTAGAAGACATGAACAGAAACGTGTTCTGATTGAAAGCAATGTGTTACTCCAGAAAGCATTGAGTCTATGTCAACACTTCAAAGGGATCCCCTGAAATGAGTGACACCAAGCCACCTACTGCAAGTGAAGGATGGAATAAGTTTAGACTGAAAAATATAAAAATAGGAGAGGCTGCTTCTGCCAATGAAGAAGTTGCTGCCCCATTTCCAGAAGCTGAAGAAGTTGATTAGGAGAAAGTATTCAACGCATGTCTTCAATTATGATAAAGCTAGGCTTTTCTGGAAGGATCTGCCCAATAGAACTTACATTCACAAAGGTGCCAAGGAGGCACCGGGGGATGAGACGTGAAAGGACAGGTTAACTCTGGTACCATGTGGCAACATGCATATAGGGTTAAATGCTATCCTTGGACTCAGGCTTCCAATGGGAGTGTTGGAATTTATCCTCACAGTTAAAGGGAAATTACTGTATTATCAATCATTGTGCCCTGATGAACTCAGTAGAAATAATATATTTCTACAACCCACCCTCAAATCGATCACCACTTATGAGCACTTTTGCTATTGACTGTAATCTCCCCTGTTTCCATTTATTACCTGTTTTGACTATGGAGTGACTTGTTAGTTTTTCTCATGTTTCTTGTGCTTGGAGATCTGAGTTTCTTACACATGCGGATTTATACTATCTTTTCCAAATTTGGAATATATTCTGCCATCATTTCTTCAATATTTTTTTTTCCTTTCCATACCTCCTCTTCTTTGGAAGTGCTAATTATTCATATATAAGGCCTCTTAAATTTGTTCCACATTTCAGCCTCTTTTTGAGTTTTATTTGGGAGCGTTTCTTTTGTTTCAAGTTCATTAAACTTTTTCTTCCATTAGTGTCATGTAGTGCATTTTTTATGTCAGATTTTTATGATGGTCATTTCTAGAAGTTTGAATTACTTTTTAAAAAATCTCTTCTTTTGCTATGTAACGTAATCAATCATTCTTCCAGCTTATTGAAAGTAAAGAATACACTTAGAACACCTATTTTAATATCCTTGTCAGATGATTTCAACATCTGTGTCAGTTCTGGGTCAGTTTTGATAAACTGATTTTTCTCCTCATTATGGGTTGTATTTCCTGCTTTTTTGCATACCTTCTAGTTTTGTGTTGGATCCCAAGTACTGCGAATTTTACCTTATTGAGTGCTAGATATTGCTTTTTATTATTATTATTATTATTATTATTATTATTATACTTTAGGTTTTAGGGTACATGTGCACAACGTGCAGGTTTGTTGCATATGTATACATGTGCCATTTTGGTGTGCTGCACCCATTAACTTGTCATTTAGCATTAGGTATATCTCCCAATGCTATCCCTCCCCCCTCCCCCCACCCCACCACAGTCCCCGGTATGTGATGTTCCCCCTCCTGTGTCCATATGTTCTCATTGTTCAATTCCCACCTATGAGTGAGAACATGTGGTGTTTGGTTTTTTTGTCCTTGCAATAGTTTGCTGAGAATGATGGTTTCCAGCTTCATCCATGTCCCTACAAAGGACATGAACTCATCATTTTTTATGGCTGCATAGTATTCCATGGTGTATATGTGCCACATTTTCTTAATCCAGTCTATTATTGTTGGACATTTGGGTTTGTTCTAAGTCTTTGCTATATATTTCTAAGAATCATAACTTTTTTTCCTTTATTTCTTTTTTTTTTTTTTGAGACGGAGTCATTCTTGTCACCCAGGCTGGAATGCAGTGGCACGATCTCGGCTCACTGCAACCTCCTTCTTCTGGGTTCAAGTGATTCTCCTGCCTCAGCCTCCCGAGTAGCTGGGATTAAAGGTGCACACTACCATGTTCAGCTAATTTTTTTTGTATTTTTAGTAGAGATGGGGGTTTCATCATGTTGGCCAGGTTGGTATCAAACTCCTGACCTCAGATGATACACTCACCTTGGCCTCCCAAAGTGCTGGGATTACAGGCGTGAGCCACTGTGCCTGGCCAGGATTCTTCATCTTTGTTCTGGAATGCAGTTAAGTTACAGCAAAATAGTATTTTCCCTTGGGGCTTGTTATTAAGCATTGTTAGTCACAGAGTAGGATTTATTCTAGGCCAGGTCAGTCTATTTCGTCTTCCCAATCGCTCTTGAATTACACGGTGTTCTAATTTGGCTGGCAGTCTTTCACTAGTGTCAGGTGCTTTAACTGATTATTTTAGGTGTTCCATTATTTTAATTGTTTTTATCCTGTTCTTGGGTGGTTTGTTCACATGTCTGTGCTGGTAAATACTCTCCCAAATTCCCGAGAGGGACCACATATGGATCACCACAGTTCCTCTCTTTGTGCAAAAGCTATTCTTCATTACTCTACCCTCTGACTTTTAGCCACCTTGATCATTGCAGATTCCTCTGTCTCACTTCTGAAAGTCTTCTGGGATCTACCTGGTTTCTCTCTTTCTGGACTGTGACTGTAGGTTATTTTAGGCTTTCAGATTATTTCCCATCTCTAGGAGGTTACTACCTTTCATTAACTAGAGTCTAATGTCATAAAAATTGTGCCAACATATATTTTGTCTGGGTTTTTACTTGTTTCGTGCAGAAAGTTAAATCCAGTCTCTCTTATTACATCTTGGCCTGTAGTGGTACTTTGCATTCTTTAAAGCTGTTGTGTTGGGGATCCAACACGTAACCATTGTGTTTTCATATCTTGCATGTGGTTTAAATGCTCCATATTCCTTACTGAATTTTAAACATAACTAGTAATTTACATGTTCTAATCAATAGCTTATTCATACGCACTGCCTAGAAATAATCTCAACCTCAGCATTTTTCCTGCTTCTAGAATCTAAACTAAATTATTCATAAAAGCATAAAAGGAAAAAGCATTATACAAGTTAAGATATTAAAGAAAATGGTTTCATTAGCATGATTTAAAATGTGCAGGAAATTATCATTGATGTAATATTTGGAATTAAGTAGAGCTCTGCAAGACTTGATAAATAATGAGTTCATTTCCATTTCAAAAGAAACAACTCTTAATACAGCCAAAATTGGAAAGAGACAGTCTCATGCTGACAGAGATGTTTTACACAGTATATCACTTTTTATCATGGGCAATCAGATGATCACACTTCGTATGTGGCACTGTTATTCTTTAATTTCTCAGTTTTTCAATATGAATAGCATGAAGCAAAGGAAATGTTCATGTAACATTTTCCTATAAATAATGGAATAAATTGAATATATCTTAAAATATGCAAATGTATCATGTGAAATCTACTAAATCAGTATCTTAATCGACCTACCTCCATAAGCTATTACTTGGCACAGCACTATTTATTGGGTACTTACATATCAAACGTTATGTAATACTGAACTGAGTAATAGCTCCAACTTAGGGAATTTTTGTAGACGCAGACACATAAATAACTAAGACACACCACAATAACTGCCATAATAGGCAGATGTGTAAAGGGTAATGGCAGATAATGAATGAATAAAAAATTCATCCTAATAGTAATATGTTTGATTAGAATACCTTAAACTTTTAGTCAATTTCAATTCTTAATATGCAGGTTGGATGAGCCAAGTTTGCTTTGGCTAATATTTATTTAACTGTACAATTTAACTGTACAATGAACAAAATTAACTTGGACATTTTTTCTAAATTTCACCTTTCTGTGTCAATCAGAGTAGGCTAATATAATACAGAAATTCAATAAATACATGAAAATAAAGTAGTATAAACTTGCTTATTAAATTGCTTTCTAGTAAGATTTAAACATATGTGATTAAAGTAATAAATTGTGTAAGAAATACTATTGCTGTTGTGAATATATTTGCTGTATTTCTTTTGATTTTTTTTATTTTTGCTATTGTAAAAAGAGAAAAGAGAAATAAATTTGTCATTTGAATGAGAATGTCTTATGTCATTTAAAAAGAGAAATATAATTAAAATATGTTAATACTAGGCCTTTTATTTGACACTATACATTTATTTTATATATATCACTCTAATATAATCCACCACGTAATCCAAGAGGATACACATTTTTACACAAACGTACACAACACACTGTGCTCCAAGCTCATGATGTTCATCTATGTGACTTAAAACACTGAAGACCACAGTACTAATATGAGAATCAAAGTACTCCTACTTAAAAATGGGCAAGTTGCCTGTATTTGAACAACTTTATACTTTTGACAAAAGACCGAATTATTTCAGAAAAAAATTAATTTAGCTAAAGAACAGTAAGCAAGAAAGAGAAGCAGGGTGCAGGGCACACAGCATAGAATTTATGATACAGCAGCCACATAACTGGGAAAGGCAGACTTGCCTGCGTCATGCTGCTGAGGTGGGTCCAGCGCTGTCCCTTCCCCACCTGCCTTTGCTCCCTTCCAGGTCAATCCACATTCTGAAACAGTCCCTCTGTAATTTCTTTCCTATCTCTACTATGCTATGTATGCAAAACGCAGGAGCCATGGACTGTCTGCGAAAGTGATTCCCTCATTACCGTCCTTTCACTCTTTTCATGAGAGTAATCAAACTTTTCACCTGGGGCAATCACATGTATCAGCTGGAGGTCTCACTAGGCCATGAACGCAAAGAGTTCAAATCATTTATTCCTTATATAACCTGCAGGATCAATTTTGTTTTTCTGATTTAAAAGAAAATGAGAGAGGAGAAAAAAACAAGAAGAACAAATAAAATACAATCAAACAAAGAGCAAAAACAAAAATACAAAATGAAACTAACTTCCATCATCTTCTCTATATGCTTAAATATAAACTAAGCCTCTATATTTTTATACTTGTTATTATTATCTGTGTTCTTACTTTCGCAAAAGATAGACTGCTTCCTCTCTGCTTATTGTAAAATGAATGAAAATTTCTCAGCGTACAATGATAAAAGCCAATAGTTACTGAGAATTTAACTGTACCTTGGAAAAGACACTTTATAAGTATTACCTGATGGAAATCTTGAAACAAATCACTGAAGGGGTAGAGATTATATCATCAGTGAGGAAATTGGAGATCAAAAAAGTTATGTAAATAGGCAAATCTAAAAACTAATGCAAAGTGTAAACTAAAGCCACTTCTACTGAATCCAACTTTTAAAATAACTATATATACATGTACCTATATACACACATACATATATAGTTAATTGCAAACCATGTAGATTGCATGCATGTATATTATATACATATACACATGTATATATGCACGTATACAATCACTATATATACATGTATATATATGTGACTGTGCATGCATGCATTCTTCATGGTTTGGAATGAAATGTTGTACCTCAGAGTTCATAATTTTCACTCATATTTGTTAGAGAATAGTTATGGATGCCTAACAATATGAAGCACTATTGTAGCTTGATGAAGTTAAAAGAGAACAAAGCAGACAAGAATTTTGCTCTTGAGGAGCATACTGATAGCAAGGAAACAAGCAGAAAATTACAAATCTGCCAAGAGTCAGAAGAGTAATGCAAGTTTCTATGCATAGCTATCCGAAATATAGGTTTAGTCTAGCAGAAGAGTTTAGTGAAGTGATTCCTGAAGTAGTAAAATTTCAAGTGAAATTAAAGTGAAAGTTTAAGTAAGTTGCTGAATAAGGAAAGGAAAAGCATTTCAGATAGTGGGAAAATATGTCAGGTTGGAAAGAGCTTAATATATGAGGAATCAGAGAGCTAATATACATGAAGGTAATAAATTGTACTGCAAGGTGATACTAAATACACATTTTGTTAAAGGGGACTGATTTAGGGTTTAGCACATGACATGCTAAAGTGTCTTTGATTAAAAAACAATAAACATGTTTTGAAAGGTTTTATTTGGAAAGCAGAATATTTCACCTTTATTTAACAGGTTCTTAACTGAATTGCATAGAAAGAAATTTATAGGTAAAATGCAAAAATTGTACCTAGGTGAAATTTTAAAAAATGTTTATTTTTTTCAATAAACTTCTGTGGCCAGAGGAGAAATCAAAGAATAAATAGAAATGTTCACAGGTACATGCAAACAGATTCAGATAAACATAATTTTGTCATCAATGCTATTGCCCTGTTATAAAACGTTCTGATATAGCGAAGGATTAAAACGGTTTTGCCTGGGCAGGAGCATTGTATTTTAATTTCACACACATGGTTTCCTTTCATGAATGATTTTGGAGACTTCTTATAAATATATTTTGGTTTTGAATATCAAGCTTTCTTGCAGAATGTTGTACATCTTGATCTCCATGAGACTGTGAAACCCTAGCCACAAATATTAAGAGAGAGAGAGCAAGAGAGAGAGAGAAAGATTTCTTTATAACCATAAGGGCTTGTTTTTAATCTGGGAAGACATGAATTAACACAAGACATATGAAGAAAGTGGTTTTAAACAAGTTACTTAATGTCTATAAGTATTAGTTACCACATCTTTGAAAGCAGGATGCCAACAATACCCTTACCATACCCATTTATTTAAGAGTAAAATGATAAATTATAGGTAAAAACACCTCAGCATTGCTGAATCATATCATCAGACAAATACCAATCTGAATCTAAAACTTTTTCTTTTTAAAATAGCGTGCAGAAATATTTGAGAAATATATTTGAAAATGCACAAACCTAACTTTCAGAATGAATTTTTAAATTACTTTAGTGGAATAGCCATTGTCTTCGTATCTATTTTTTGTCTTTCACGCAGTGAAAGAATGGGCTCTGATTCTAGTGAGCAACAGCCAGAGAGACTCAGACGTAGTGTCCTCTTTGACAGGGTGAAAGTGACTGTAGCCACTCCTCTTTTCCCAGGAGATAGCAATAGAATATGTGAGAATAGCCTGAGGAGTAATGTCAGCATTTCCAATTCAATACTGAAATAGGACTCTGTATACTCTTATTCTTCAAACCCTTAACACCATTTCACTCACAACTCTTCTCAAATGCTAAAGCTGTATTTAAAAAAAAAAATCTATGGGATGATTAAATAAACTTTGCACATACATATCCTAGAAAAGAGTGATTATTTTCTGTGATAGTCTCTCCTTGTTTTTCCAGCCAAAAAAGAAAAAAAAAAAATCCAAGTGAGCTTGCATTGCCTAATTTGCTTCTTGTTTACAAAAGGCCTCCTTTTTTGGCATGTGGTGTAATATATAAATCTAGAGCTCAGCTACCCCATGATGTTATTGTGTTCAATTCTGCCAAAGATCTTCATCAAAATATCCTAATGTTCTTTCCATATCCCTAGTGCATGAAAAGATGAACTGATGACATTCAGGCATGTTTTTAAAGAGGAAAGAATACCAATTGACCTGCAATGTGACCAATATCATCTCTTCTCCAAAATAGATATATTAGGGAAAAATGTTTGACACCAGTTAACAGAAAGTACAAATACAATTTATAAAAGTTAGAATGATTGTCTATAAACTAGGAATAACTGAAAACATTTTCTTTTTATACATAAACTCTTAAAATTTACAGGTCTCCTATATGCATACATTTTCCAAAAATTTGTATTTACTTAATCTTATAATTCTATGATTTAACCATCTCTGATATTTTTTGAGAAAGTCTGGTGAAATTTCATGTCCTTTCTAAACTCAAAAGTGTGGTTGGAGGTTATTTACAAAATGTTGATTTGCTGTAAATTAGCAAATATAACAACACCCAAATTGAACTTAAATTGTACTTCATATTGTTTGTTATTGGGGAAGTTTGAAATCACTCAGGCAAAGAGCAATTGCACCATATAATGCCATAAAATTAGCAATAATATTTTAATAGTAAAATTATATGCAGGCAAATGTTATTCAACCACTGAAGTTTAGATCACTTTATCCAAATTTACAAATCAAAGGGATGTATTAGAATAAAAGGCCCTCCAAATATGTCCACATCCTCATCCTTAGAATCTATTAATATGTTACCTTACATGGAAAAAGGGACTTTGGAGATGTGAATAATTAAGAATCTTGAGATGCAAGGGATATTGTGGATTATCCAGAGGGCTGAATGTTATTGATCAAGTCCTTAAAAGCGAAAGAGAAAGGTAAGAGAGTCAGAGTCAGAGAAGAGGAAGCAGAGTCAGAGTGAGATTTGAAGCTGCTATACTGTTGACTTTAAACATGAAGTATAGGGCTAAGGAATGAAGTTGCTTCTAGAAGCTAAAAAAGACAAAGAAAAAATACCCTTCGTTAGATTCTCCAGAACAGGGGTGCCCAATTTTTTGGCTTCCCTGGGCCACATTGGAAGAAGAATAATTGTCTTGGGAGATGCATAAGATACACAAACACTAACAATAGATGATGAGCTTAAAAAATGCAAAAAAATCTCATATTTTTTAAAGTTCCAGGGTACATGTGCAGCATGTGCAGATTTGTTACACAGGTAACTGTGTGTCATGGTAGTTTGCTGCACCTATCAACCCATCACCTAGGTATTAAGCCTACTATGCATTAGTTATTTTTCCCGATTCTCTCTCTCTCCTTGTCCCCTCCTGACAGGCCCCAGTGTGTGTTGTTCCCCTACTTGTGTCTATGTGTTCAGACTGTTCAGCTCACACTTATAAGTGAGAACATGTGGTGTTTGGTTTTCTGTTCCTGCATTAGTTTGTTGAGGATAATGGTTTCCAGTTTCATTCATATCCCTGCAAAGACATGATCTCATTCCTTTTTCCTTTTTATAGCTGCATAGTATTCCATGGGGTGCATGTACCACATTTTCTTTATCCAGTCTGTCATTGATGGGCATTTGGGTTGATTCCATGTTGTTGCTATTGTGAATAGAGCTGCAATGAACATACATGTGCATGTATCTTTACAATAGAATGATTAATATTACTTTGGATATACCCAGTAATGGGATTGCTAGGTCAAATGGTATTTACATTTCTGGTTCTAAGTCTTTGAGGAATTGCCACACTGTCTTCCACAATGGTTGAACTAATTTGCATTCCAGCCAATAGTGTAAAAGTGTTCCTATTTCACTTCAGTCTTGCCAGTATCTGTCGTTTCTTGACTTTTTAATAATTGCCATTCCGACAGGCATAAGATGGTATCTCATTGTGGTTTTTATTTGCATTTCTCTAATAATCGATGATGTTGAGCTATTTTTCATATGTTCATTGTCCTCATAAATGTCTTTAGAGAAGTGTCATGTCCTTTGCCCACTTTTTAATGGGGTTGTTTTTTTCTTGTAAATTTGTTTAAGTTTCTTGTAGATTATGGACATTAGACCTTTGTCAAATGGGTAGATTGCAAAGATTTTCTCCCATCCTCTAGGCTGCCTGTTCACTTTGATGATAGTTTCTTTTGCTGTGCAGAAGCTCCTTAGTTTAAATAGATCCCATTTGTCAATTTTTGCTTTTGTTGCAATTGATGTTGACATTTTCATTATTAAATCTTTGCCTGTGTCTATGCCCTGGATGGTATTGCCTAGATTTTCTTCTAGGGTTTTATAATTTTGGGTTTTACCTTCAAGTCTTTGAGTTTCTTTTTAATAAAGTGTAAGGAAGGCATTCAGTTTCAATTTTCTGCATATGGCTAGCCAGTTCTCCCACCACCATTTGTTAAATAGGGAATCCTTTCTGCATTGCTTGTTTTTACCTGGTTTGTCGAAGATCAGATGGTTGTAGGTGTATAGTCTTATTTCTGTTCCATCATTTTGGTGTCTTTTTTTGTACCAGTGCCATGCTCTTTTGGTTACTGTAGCCTTGTAATATAGTTTGAAGTCAAGGAGCATGATGCCTCCAGTTTTTTTTTTTTTTTTTCTTTTCTTTTTTTTCCTTAGGATTGTCTTGGCTATAAGGGCTCCTTTTGTTTCACATGAAATTTAAAATAGTTTTTTTCTAAATCTGTGAAGAATGTCAATGGTAGTTTAATGGGAATAGCATTGAATCTATAAATTACTTTGGGCAGTATGGCCATTTTCACCATACTGATTCTTCTTATTCATGAGCATCGAATGTTTTTCCATTTGTTTGTGTTCTCTCTGATTTCCTTGAGCAGTGGTTTGTACTTCTCCTTGAAGGGGTCTTTCACTTCCCTTGTTAGCTGTATTCTTAGGTATTTTATTCTCTTTGCAGCAATTGCGAATGGATGGGAGTACATTCATGGTTTGGCTGTCTGCTTGCCTGTTGCTGGTATATAGGACTGCTCGTGATTTTTTTCACATTGATTTTATATCCTGAGCTGAAGTTGCTTATCATTTCAAGGAGTTTTTGGGCTGAGACGATGGGGTTTTCTAAATATAGGATCATGTCATCTGCAAAGAGAGAAAATTTGACCCCCTCTCTTCCTATTTGTATACCTTTATTTCTTTCTCTTGCTTGATTGCCCTGTCCAGAACTCCCAATACTATGTTGCATAGGAGTGCCGAGAGAGGGAATCCTTGTCTTGTGCCAGTTTTCAAGGGGAATGCATTCAATTTTTGCCCATTGAGTATGATATTGGCTGTGGTTTGTCATAAATGGCTCTTATTATTATGAGGTATGTTTCTTCAATACCTAGTTTACTGAGAGTTTTTAACATGAAAGGATGTTGAATTTTATCAAAGGCCTTTTCTGCAGCTATTGAGATAATCGTGTGGTTTTTCTCTTTAGTTCTGTTTATGTGGTGTATTATGTTTATTGATTTGTGTGTGTTGAACCAGCCCAGAGATAAAGCCGACTTGATCGTGGATAAGCTTTTTGATGTGCTGCTGGATTAGGTTTGTTAGTATTTTATTGAGGATTTTTGCATCAATGTTCACAGATATTGGCCTTAAGTTTTCTTTTTTTGTTTAGCTCTGCCAGATTTTGGTATGAGGATGATGCTGGCCTCATAAAATGAGTTAGAAAGGAGCCCCTCCTTTTCAATTCTTGGGAAGAGTTTCAGAAGAAATGGTACCAGCTCTTCTTTGTACCCTGGTGGAATTCTCCTTACTACTAAAGTCTTTCTTTTTCAAACAACTTCAATTTAGGAACATAATCTCGATCTCATTATTACTTGCAATTAAAGATAAATTTGCAAGGGATCATGGTCCATCAGCTATTCCTTTTATAGATTTATTTATCCTCTGTTTACAGGTGTTTTCCCAAAATTTAGTGTTTCCCACATTAAAAAAATAGAACTTTTCAAACATTAACATGCTTTAGAATCACTTGGAGGACTTATAAAAACACAGATTATAGGGCCCCATATCCAGAGATATTAACTTAGAATGTACAGCAAAATGTCTCCAGAAGATTTTCTGTCTCTGCATCCACACTCTACATCAGCTCCTCAATGCACAATGTGCTAGCAGTCTTGCCTAACACGGTCCTGAAGAGATTCTTGCTAGCATCACTAATTGCCTGCACATTGTTAAATCTAATCATACTTCTCAGTTCTCAAATACTTGAAATCTTATTACTTATAAATAGAGTTAATGACATCCACATCTGCAAATAATCTTTTCCATTGGCATCAGTAACAGTCTTCTTCTCTTCTCCATTCCAATTTCAATCTTTTTAGTCTCACTTGGAAGCTCTTCTATTTCACATGACTGTTAATTATAAAATTTCTTTGAGTCTCTCATTTGCGTACTTCTCTTCTAATGCTTTAATTACTCTTTAGGGGAAATACTTTAGTTATGTATTCAATATTCTTAAGTAAGATAAAGATTATAGAAGAAGGATTGGAAAATTCTCATGAAATATGAAAGTATATTATGTGCCCCTGAGATTATAAATTTCCAAGTAAGCATACCATTGAAACTGTGCATCTTTTAATATAGGTACATATTTTGCTGTATTCACGTGTTTAAAATAAATAAAATTACCATTAAAGCATACCCTCAAAACACCCTAACACTTATCCATCTGTCTCTCCTTAATATAACCACTAGTCTGAAGTTGGAATCACAAATATGCAATTTTAACTTTTATAAAAATGTTTATTAAAATATAAAATATTGTTTTATGTAATTGCAATATTTCAACTGATATAAAATTCTACAGATTATGAAGCAAATTACTTCTTTTACTAAAAATATTGGTGAATTTCATCCCTACTTAGACCTCTATGATTTAAACATTCATTTTACTTGTTTAATACTGCATTGCATGTATAAACCACAATTTATCTCCCACTGAGGAAAATTTAGATTGTTTCTATCATAAAGGGATTAATGTAGTACTGTTATCTACATCTCTACACTTGGGTTCCTCTAAGGTAAACCCACCTAGATTGAAATTGTCAGAATGCAGTGTACGTGTACTTTTGCTTATCCACAATATTACTAAATTGCACCCTAAAATGGAATTAACCTTGTTAAAAGAATATAGTCAATCTATTTGGTATCAAATTTTACCTCAGGGATGTTTTCATTTCTTGATTAATAATGAAACTGAACATAATTATTAGTTTATATATTTAGTTGACAATCAAGTCTCCTTTTTCATGAATGCTTTTTCATTTCCTTTGTTTTTTCACCTAGAATTGTGTACCTTTTCAGTTTTTGAATATTGGTAGTTTTTATATATCTTCCAGATATTAAAACTTTGCTAATTATGTATGTTGCATATGTCTATTTCCATCCTGTGGGGCTTTTACATATTCTATATATCCATCCATTTTTTATATCCAAAATTTTATGTATCTATACATATATACACACGTACATATATATGCATATTCATGAATATATGTATATGTATATAAAATATATACATATAATATGGATAAATATGACATCTATGTATGCATCTATAAATATGTACATATATGATACATATACACAATATAATATATGATGTATATATTATATACAAATAATATATGATGTATATATTGTGTGTATATATACTATATATTATATAAATATATTTATATACATACATATGTGTATTTATCCCTACGCTTATATACACAGATATCCACATACATATACACTTACAATCCTCTCTTTTATTCCCCATCTATAATATATAGAAATATATACACATATATGTGTACATAATATATAGGGATATTTAAACATATGTGTGTGTATACATATAATGTGTATATATTTAATGTGTAGATATCCCTATATATGTATGTGTGTATATATCCCTATGTTTTATATATATATATATATATATATATATATATATATATATATAATTATATGTATATATGGGGGAGGAGAGAGTTTTAATTCTAGTAATGCTAGTACACTACTTACTACTTTTTAGTTTATGATTTTTCATATCTTTAGGAAATATTACTTTTTCTTAATTAAGAAAAAACTGTGCAAGATTTTATTCAAGACTATTGCAATAGAGGAGGGAGTCCAGAACTCAGTCTGTACTCAATTCCACCAAAACAAAGGGAGTTAGACTTTTTAAGACCAAGGGTAGAAAAATGATGAGTATGTGAGGTAATGCACGTGATAATTAGCTCAAACGAGGCATTCCACAGTGTATGCATATTTCAAAACATCATCCTCTATGTCGCCAATATGTCCAACTTTGTATTTGTCAATTTTAAAATAAAAAATGAAATAAAGCGGAAGTGAAGGGGAGATCATAGGCTACCTGTATTTTGTTAATTGGCCTTACCCAAATGGCAAAGTAAACTTTCTCATATCTTCATGACACAAAGTAGTTTTACAACTTGCCATAAGGCTTGCAAGGAAGCCTTGTACTCCAATAAAGACTTGAAGATGGGGCACTATCTTCCTTGATGAGTATATGTCAAAGAAATGGCTCCTAGGTTCTTGAAAAACACATTCTTGAATATATAACTGGAAAGAGACTTTTAAAATGTTTTAAAAGATGTCAAAGGAGTGAGAAAAAAAGTAGAATTACAGCCATTCTAAAGAAAGTGCTCTAAATAAAAAAGATCAGGGCCTGGGGTCACAAAGGAGCCTAACCAAACTCTACCAAAATTGAGAGAAATCATAAGGCCCTCCTGGCAGGCAGTAATGACCTGTATTTTCTTCTAAATGATTTGAACACTTACACATCAAATTTGACTGTAACATTTATCTGGAATTTATTTTTGTGCATAGTATAACATAGGGATATACTTTTATTTTGAATCATATAGTGAAGTAAAACCATACTGTAATGAATGCTATAATTTTATAGGGAATATCTATCTTTCCTAAGCTTCTTCATAAATACTTAACAATTTTATTTTTGTATATATATATAAAATCAAATTATCTAAAAATATAAAATTTTGATTAGAATCATATTTATTTGCAGCAATGACAAATTTATGACTCTGAGAATTTCCATGTCTAAATTTAAAATTATTTATTGTAGTACATCTGTAATAAAAATAATTTTCTTAAAAATATTTTATGTATTTATGTATTTCTTAGGTAAAGTCATAGGGCTATAATAATGTTCCCTGCACAAACTCCCTTGCCTGCCCCTGTGTAAGATGTGCCTTTGCTCCTCCTTTGCCTTCTGCCACGATTGTGAGGTCACCCCAGCCCTGTGGAACTGTAAGTCAATTAAATATAATAATGCATTATTATATTGTATTTTCTTATACTTTTATATATGAATAACTTTTTGATTTTATAATGTTTTATAATATTACAGCATAAACACATTTTCTCTTCACTAGTATACATTGCTTGAACATACACTGCCACAATGTTGCAAATAAGCAATGTGATAAGGCATCCTTGTAAAGAGAATACTTGTGTTTTAAACATAAGGAAGATCTTTGTAGTACTTTGATAGTAATACTAGTTATCAAGTTAAGAAAATTCTCTTATCTTCCATGTTTAAACAGTACTTTTCAAAACAGCATTCTGGATTATTGGGATCCTTCTATGATTAGTATTTAGCCCACGATTTTCATAAATTTCATTAACAGATTATGGTGTGGCTGTGTCCCTACCCAAATTGCACCTTGATTTATATTAATCCCCACATGTCAAGAATAGGGCCAGATGGAGATAACTGAATCATAGGGGTGGTTTCCATCATACTGTTCTTCTAGTAGTGAATAAGTCGCATGAGATCTGATAGTTTTATAAATGGGAGTTTCCCTGCACAAACTTCCTTGGCTGCCTCCGTGTAAGATTTGCCTTTGCTCCTCCCTTGCCTTCTGCCATGATTGCGAGGTCACCCCAGCCCTGTGGAATTGTGAGTCAATTAAATATCTTTTTCTTTATAAATTATAAAGTCTCAGGTTATGTCTTTATTAGCAGGATGAGAACATATTAATATAGTAAATCAGTACTGGTAGAGTTAGGTGCTGCTCTAAAGATACCCAGAAATGTGGAAGTGACTTTGGAACAGGGTAACAGGCAGATAATGGAACAGTTTGGAGGGCTCAGAAGAAGATAGAAAAATCTGGAAAAGTTTGGAACTTCCTAGAGACTTGGAAGGCTCAGAAGACAGGAGGATGTGGGAAAGTTTGGAACTTCCTAGAGACTTCTTGAATGCCATTGGCCAAAATGCTGATAATGATATGGAGAATAAAGTCCAGGCTGAAGTGGTTTTAGATGGAGATGAGGAACTTGTTGGGAACTGGAGTAAAAGTCACTTTTGCTATGCAAAGAGACTGGTGGCATTTTACCCCTGCCCTAGAGAGCTGCAGAACTTTGAACTTGAGAGAGATGATTTGAGGTATCTTGCAGAAGAAATTTATAACCAGCAAAGGATTCAAGAGGAAGCGGAGCATAAACATTTGGAAAATTTGCAGGCTGACAATGTGATAGAAAAAAAAACAAACCCCATTTTCTGGGGAGAAATTCAAGCCAGCTGCACAAATTTGCATCAGTAACAAGGAGCTGAATGTTAATTGCCAAGACAATGGGGAAAATGTCTTCCAGACATTTCAGAGACCCTCCCATGAGAGGCTTGGAAGCCCATGAGGGAAACATGGTTTCCTGGGCCTGGCCCAGGGTCTCCCAGCTGTGTGCAGCCTAGTGACTTGGTGCCCTGTGTCCCAGCTGCTTCAGCCATGGCTAAGGCTCAGGCTGTGGCTTCAGAGGGTGCAAGTGCCAAGACTTGTCACCTTCCAAGTGGTGTTGAGCCTGCGGGTACACAAAGTGTAGAACTGAGGTTTAGAAACCTCTGCCTGGATCTCAGACGATGTATGGAAACACCTGAATGTCTAGGCAGAAGTTTGCTGCAGGGGTGGAGCCCTCATGGAGAACCTCTGCTAGGGCAGCGCAGAAGGAAAATGTGGGGTCACAGACCCCACACACAGTCCCCACTGGGGCACTGCCTGGTAGAGCTGTGAGAAGAGGGCCACTGTCCTCCAGACCCTACAGTGGTAGATCCACTGACAGCTTTCACCTGTGCTCCTGGAAAAGCTGCAGACACTCAATGCCAGCCTGCAAAAGCAGCCTGGAGTGGGCTGTATGATGCGAAGCCACAGGGATGGAGCTGCTCAAGACCATGGGACCCAACCTCTTGCATCAGAGTGACTTGGATGTGAGACATGGAGTCAATGTAGATCATTTTGGAACTTCAATGCTTAATGACTGCCCTATTGGATTTTGGACTTGCATGGGGCATGTGGCCCCTTTGTTTTGGCCAATTTCTCCCATTTAGAATGAGTGTATTTGTTAAATGCCTTTACCCACACTGTAACTAGGAAGTAACTAACTTGTTTTTGATTTTACAGGCTCGTAGGCAGAAGGGACTTGCCTTGTCTCAGATGAGACTTTGGACTATGGACTTTTGAGTTAATGCTGAAATGAGTCAAGACTTTGGGGGGTGCTGTTGGGAAGGCACAGTTGGTTTTTAAAGTGAGTTCATGAGATTTTGGAGGGACCAGGGTGGAACGATATGGTTTGGCTGTGTCCTCACCCAAATTTCACCTTTAATTGTAATAATCACCACATGTCAGGGGTGGGTCCAGATCGAGATAATTGAATCATGGGGGCAGTTTCCCCCATACTGTTCTCATGGTAGTGAATATGTCTCATGAGATACGATGGTTTTACAAGTGGGAGCTCCCCTGCAGAAACTCTCTTGCTTGCCTTCATGTAAGAAGTACTTTTGCTCCTCCTTTGCCATCTGCCATGATTGTGAGGGCTCCTCAGCCATGTGGAACTGTGAGCCCATTAAAGCTCTTTTGGTTTATAAATTACCCAGTCTCAGATATGTCTTTATTAGCAACATGAGAACAGAATAATACAACAGGTTTTTGTAACATTAAAACATTATTGCAGTCTGTAAATCTTCCCTACCTAGCCATTACTTTTTAGTGGGTTTACATTGATATATTTTATTTAGTTAACTGGCATATCATTGGAATTTTTCTAATCAATTCCCGGAAATCTTACACCAGCAATTTTCTTAATTCATTCGTCCTATTCTTTGATATATTGTATGTATTTTGGTATTGTGGTCATACTAGACTTACAAATTATCCAGGTTTTTCTATTTTCTAGAATAATAAAAAATATTGGTATTAGAAAATTTTAGAGATGTTGCCTATAAAACAATCTGGGAGTTATACATATTGTTTTATTACTATTTTTTCATTTTTTTAAGAGAGTACAGTTTTAACTAACTGGTTTAATTGATTTAATAAATGTTGGCCTCTTCAGGTTTTGTACTTCTTCTGCAGTCCGTTATAGAAACTTGCAATGTTGTAAGATATTTTTCAATTTGTCTAGTTTTTAAATTCATTGTTAGACATTTTTTCTAACATTTTCAAAATAACTCCTCAGAAAAAAATCCTTCTCTACATTTACATCTGCATAGATAGACAGACTGATAGATATACATTTATAACTGACAATACTCATAGATAATGTTTTTATGATTTTGGTTCTTATACATTTGTTGAGGATTATTTTAATGTTGTTAAGTAGCACATTACTTTATTTGAGAAATACCTTTCAACTTCTTGAACAATATCAATTGCCTGCAAGGCAGAGAAGCCTACTAGTTTCTTTCAGTTTCCCCACTCGTTTGAAAGTGATAATGATGCTTATCTCTGTGATCCATACATGACCATCTGACTGCATTTATTGGAAGATTTTTTAGAAATAATTAATATCCAACGAGTGCTAGTATTTGCTGTGATTGTAGTTTTATTCTCTTTGACTCTAAATTATCTATGATAAAGAGTAATACAGAGAATTAAAAAAACAAACTTAGATAATATTACTAATTTTTCTCTTTCCAGGACATCTGTTTGACAATATTATAAATTGCTATCCATCTTTGTTAATAATAAGCATCCACAAATGTTAATTTTGAATATTTCAAACACATTTTAAATGCACTAATTTGGGCTAGGTGCAGTGGCTCATGCCTCTAATACCAATACTTTGGGAGGCCAAGGCAGGAGGATTGCTTCAGTCCAGGAGTTCGAGACCAGCCTGGGAAACTTGGTGAATTTCCATCTCTACTATATATATTTATAAATATAATATTTATAGGTGCCAGGTATGCACCGTTATGTCCAGCTAATTATATATATAGTTATATATTATATAAATATATATATAATACACATTTACATATTTTATATAAATATGTAAATTTTATATAAAAATTTACAAATTTATATAAATAAAAATTACCTATTTTATAAAAATATATAAATATTTACATATTTTATATAAATTTGTGTATTTTATATAAATTACATATTATATATTTTATATAAATATATAACATATTTATATATAATATGTAAATGTGTATTATATATAATAGCTAATTTTATGTATAATATAAAATATATAATATATAATTATATATAATATATATGTGAATAACATATAATATGTAATTATATATAATATATAATTATATATAATATATAATATATGCAAATAATATATAATATATGTGAATAATATATAATATATGTAAATTATATATAATTATTTATATAATATATATATTGTGTGCATATATATATATATATATATATAATTAGCTGGACATAGTGGTACATACCTGTAGTCCCAGCTATTTGCTAGGCTAAAATGGGATGATTGCTTGAGCCTGGGTGGTGGAGGTTGCAGTGAACTGAGACCACATCACTGTACTCCAGCCTTGGTGACACAGAGAAAGCCTCTCTCAAAAAATAAAAATAAAAATAAAAAAGCACTAATTTCAAACTGTATAAATTTATATAAAATTATGAATTTTAAATACTTTTAGTATATATATAATTCTATGGTATTTAATATGCAATAATTTTTTAGATATAGTTTCTCCTCTTTGATAAACTGAAAAAAATGGCTATAAAAACATTGTGAAGTATAGATACCTTTTGGATGAGTGTTAATCATGATGTTTCCTGAACATTGACTCTATATTCTGAGCAGGACATGTACTCAGTGTAGAACGTATTTGAAAATTGCTGGTTGATTAAATAGTGTCTTATTCATGTACTTTATGAATTTATTAAAGTTAAGAAATCCTGGTCCCAAACCAGGGCTGCTTTACTAAGCTAGTTTATGGAGACAACACACTAAATTAAGAAGACTTGCTAGGATAAGATGGAATTCAACTCAAATTTTTTTTACGGACTTGTCTTCTCTGCTAAGTGGAAGTCATAGAGCTTTATTAGAAAGACAGGGCTCTGCTGGAAAGGATTGGCCTAGAACTCCATGAGTCTGTGAAAATAAGTAATTCAAAATTGGAACTGTTGAAACTAAATCATTTTGAGCCTTAAGGGAACGTGATTATTGAATGTGAGTCACCAAAACAGGCAGCTGCAACCTGGGCAGCTTTAACCTTTGTTTCTCTGATTATAGATTAGTCTTTTCCTTACCAGCATTGTTTTATAGAATGTTGTAAATGATGAGAAGGCACTAGAGAATACCCTTTCCTCTTTAACTGTTGATCTTCATTATAGAGTAGCTTCTCTTTTTCCTCTCTCACACAGAGTTTATGACCTCACATTGTCTAAGATGTAATTTTAAATACACTCTTTTCAATTGGAAAAAATAAAAATCAAGCTGAAAAAATAACTGTATGGGAAAAGTAAACAAACTGTATCTAATTAAGTTGTTTTAACTCATAAACCAGGCTTGTAGAGTAAATGCTATTAATTTTCTAAATTTCTTTGTTCTCTGCCTATTTAAGTAAAACCTTAACTTTTAACTTTGGAGCACTGACTGCATTCCTTTAGTGTCCATTTTGCCCAAATGGCTATTTGAAGGTTTTCACTTGAATAAACTCTTTTAAACTGAATCCTGATTCTGTTGATTATTTCAGGTTGACAAGTCAGAAAAAAAAGGCCAAACATTTGTTAGAAAAGCTGTTCTGCATTTCTAAGAAGCTCACAGATGATGTGAATTTTTTTTGTACTATTGACCACACTTAATAAGGCTGTAGAGAACTTCTGAAGTACTATGTGAGAATGAGTACATACATACTCACTTTTTTATATTGGTGGGGGATTGGGGTGGGTCGCTGGATTTCTTATGTGTTTTACCATGTGTTATGCTAGAAATACAGAAGGAGCTGTTAATACTTCTGCATTGGTTCAAATTGTTATTTTTACAGAATATAAGTGTATTTTCCTTCTGATCAAACAAGTAAATTAAAGACTTCCAGTTTTAGCTCCATCATGTAAAAAGCTAGAATGTTGTCACTTTCATACTTAGATTAGAAAGAAAACTAAATGAATGGCAAATCAATGATTTTTAATGCTCTGATCAGAAAGCTGAGAACACAGGGCAAACAGTTATTTATGTATCTTTGCCAGGGCATTTGTTTGCAATTGGTAATGCTGTATCTTAGAAAATTAGAATTTTTAAATTTACTTGACATTGCTAAATGGTTATTCTTGAGACTCAGGAAACAATACTCCAAAAGAAACCCTCAGAAGCAGTCTCAGAAGCAAAAGTTTTTCTCTGATCTTCTGCCCTCCTGTCTTTCAGTCTCATTCTCCCGTGAGGCAGGTCATAGAAACTAGAATTCCTCTTTCCCAAGGCAGGGCATAGAAACCAGAACCACTTTTCCCCAAAGTCAGCCATAAAACTTAAACATATTACTGTAACTGCTTTTTACATTTCTTTATGATAGTTGACCATAAAGAAATTATCTGACCTACACTGTTTGACTGTAGGTCGTAAGACTCCATCCCAGAAAGAATTCTGTCCCATACCCAGAAATGCATGGTTAGAGAGGCCAAGAAGAATCTAGAAAGACAGGTCTTGCTGGGTTTCCCCACTCAGTCTCATAACATTGGTTTATACCCCTTTTGTCTATCATATTTCTACATGGCCATCTATAGTTTGATAAATCCAAGCACAAAAATGGACAATTTCCTCTGTATGTTTGGGTCTTCATACTGAAGGTTCCCACGTACATGTTAATAAGACATTTTGTGTCTCTCTCCTCAATTAATCTGGATGATTTTTCAGCAAACCTTCAGAAGGCAAAGGGAAAACTTCCCCTTCACCTCTACATTATCCTACCTTCAAAGATAATTTCTCCCAGTTATCTTCAAGATTTAGTATTAGCAAACATTTAAATTTTGCCAATAAATGTTATATATCATAACTCATTTTTAAAATCTGAACTCCTTGCCTCATTATGCCATTGAAAACTATAATGCTTTCCTTGGCCACTTGTTTGCCTTTTCTGTCTGTTATATGTAAAATGTCTTGCCCATTTCTTGTCATACTCTCATTTCTTATACATTTTTAGAAGATGAAAAAATCCAAAACATTGTGAATACTACTTTTCTGTCAATTACATATGTTTTAAATTGTCTCACTAATGATTGTCTGACTTTTCTTACTTTATTTTAGAGTGTTTATTTGTATAAATAAGTTTTCATTTCAATATTTTAAAATGAATAAATATGTACTTTATGCTTTGTATTTTGGGTACATTTTCTGAGAAATACTCATTCCTCCTGATACTAATAAAATTAAGATTTCTTTTTAAATTTCGAATCCACCTGGATTCAATATTTACAGAGAGTATTTTTCCACATTAATACTTATTGTCAATGTGCTTTTCCATGAAATCCATCTTTCATACAGTAATTTTCAGCCACCCCTTTGGTTATGATTCTTTTCAATAGAAGAGAAGGCTGGTTTCTGAAACACCCGCACTGATCCATGTCCTGTTAGTATATTTCTATATAATTTATATAATGACTACACATGGCTTAAATATCTTTATAACTAACAGGACAAATTGACTCATATTTACTTTTCTTTTTCAAGTTACCTTCTTATATTTATCTAAGCTAATACCTTCCCTCTACTATACTTAGTATCTTTTCCCAGCATCCACTCAGAAACATATGTACACACACACACACCTACACACACACAAACTTACTATATTAGGATTCTCTAGAGGGACAGAACTAATGGATTATATAGATATATATTCCATTTATATATAAATATATATATATCTATATATATAAATATATATGTATATATGTGTGAATATGTATATATATATTTGAGAGCAGGAAGCATCCAGCACAGGAGAAAGATGTAGGCTGGGAGGCTAGGCCAGTCTCTCTTTTCACATTTTTCTGCCTGCTTATATACTAGCCATGATGGCAGCTGATTAGATTGTACCCACCAAAATAAAGAGTAGGTCTGCCTTTCCCAGCCCACTGACTCAAAAGCGAATCGCCTTTGGCAACACTCTCACGGACACACCCAGGATCAATACTTTGTATCCTTCAAGCCAATCAGTATTAACCATCACACTTACATTATATCTTTTCTCAATGATTGCTACACTCTCTAACTTTTGAGATTTAAGGAAAGCTTTACTCTCTTTGTTCTCTAAGATGATCAGAAATGTACTTATTTTCCCAATTTTGTGTTACTCTACAGGATTTTTCTCAGAGTCACCTCTTCTGAGAAGCCACTCCTGATTCTTACCATATTTAATACTAATTTTATTTTGCTGATCTCTGTCTCTCTAGGTAGTTGAAGTCAAAGGACATACTAAAGTTGTCACAATATTTCCAAACGATATCACGGTGCCAGCTATATGAAAGACATTAAATACAAATTTAGAATAATGTGGATTCATGGGACAAAGATTTTAAAGATGGAAACAATGAAACATTGTTGCATTTGGCACTATATTTTAGGAAATGTGCTCATATTCAATCCCTACATTGAAGATAGTAAAACATTAAATAAAAAACAGTGAAAGTATCACTATAATCTTTTCCCCCATAAATTATTAAATTTACTTATTTTCAAATAAGAATCATTCAGAAAATAATGTATATTTTAAAAATAATGCACACCTGTATATTCACACACTCACACATGTAACTTTTGCTTTGGGGGAAATTGTTTGGAATGAGTCATAGACAAGGTGAGTGAAGTTGTCTTAAGAACTCATTCCATCTAATTTTATCATGCACATGGTCTACAGTTAGCTGTGTTACATGTTTGCATGAGCTATAGGAAGTTATGATAATTAAATTTTGTCAATTTTTTATGTAAAAGCTGTGGCTCAGGGTGAATTTACATAGTATGTTAGAAGGTACAAAGCTAGTCAGAGGAAAACCATAATTAAACTCAGTTAAATCTCATCCCTAATCCTATGAATGTACTACTTCTCTAAACTGCCTCACATAAATTAATTTGGAAAGAAAGATTCTCTTCATACAGTTAAACTAAAAACAAAAAAACTCATTTAGGTTACTAATGTGACCTCCTTTATATTAAAAAAGGAAGAGAGGTCAATACTGTAATTTTTTTATTTTATTTTATTTAACTTTTTTAAATGGAGTCTCACTCTGTTGCCCAGAATGGAGTAGAGTGGCATGATCTCGGCTCACTGCAGCCTCTGCCTCCCAGGTTCAAGCAATTCTTGTGTCTCAGCCTCCCAAGTAGCTGTGATTACAGGTGCATGCCACCACACCTGGCTAGTTTTTGTATTTTTTAGTAGAGACGGGATTTCACCATGTTGGCCAGGCTGGTCTCGAACCCCTGACCTCAGGTAATCCACCCACCTCGGCTTCCCAAAGTGCTGGGATTATAGGCGTGAGCTACTGTGCCTGGATTAAATACTAAAATTTGCATAATGCTTTTTTTATTGAACATTTATAGTACTGGCAATGTGTTTAATCGAATCTATTGAAAATCATATGCTCCTGCTTCATGTCATTTATGTAATCTTCATCTTGGATAAAATCAAAACAATAAATGAATTTGTTTGTGCTCAATATAATATTTGTACACTAAAATAAAAGTTTTAAATACTCTAAATTTGTTACTTTAAAATCCTACGTGAATGATTTAAATAAAAAACTAAAAGTTTTGTAATTTCTCAAGGGGTGAATGGCTCAAAATAGCAATGTTGGTCTACTTAGTTTACCATTAACTTCAAAGTAGCTACTCTCTTAAAAACCTTTAAGCTCTTGAATCTCAAAAAAGTGTATTAGTTTGATAGAAATGTTTAATTAACTTTATTTTGCAAAAGCAACAAGTCTTATTTCATTTTTTTCTACAAAGCTTCTGATTTATAGATATAAAATAAAAAATCTTCCCAACCTCATACACATGAATCTGTTTTGATTTTAAACTTTTTATTTCTTCTTAAGAGATTACTTAAAATTACCAGATGTAGCATGACCAGACTTCCAGTTGAATTTAAAATAGTAAGATTAATACATAATTAAAAGGTATGCAATTCTTCAGGCTGAAATCACCAGGGAGTAAATACTTTGTATAACTATTATTTAAAAAATTATATAGTTTAATGTTAATAGGTATTTTGATAATTTAATTTTAATTCTCACAATTAGGTTTCAGGATCATCAATATTTAAATCAACCTTATTTGGGCAATATTTGGGCAGATTATTCACAAGTTTCATAAAGTTAACAGCCAAATAGGGATATAGTCAAAGTGTACTCAAAAATACAAGCCACTCTTTTATTTCTGTATTTAAAATGACATTATATATTTGTTACTAATATTTTTATGAAAAATATAAAAGTTCATATTTTACTTTTTTGTTTAAAATAGCAAACAGTGTTTATGTCTATTTTAATTTAAATAGATTATATTTCTATGTGTATCTATTTAGAGAGATAGTAGTGTACAGTAAAGAAGGTCTTGATGTTCATAAAGCTTATATTCCAAGTAGGTAAGTTAATACACAAGCAAAAAAAGGCATGGACCATATTATAACTAAGTAGAATTTGACTGGCCTTTTGGTCACTTTAGGTAGTTCTCAATTGAAAGGCACATCTTCTCTAAGGATTCAACATAGGACAGATAGTTGAATAATATTCAGTCACTACAAATGCATAACAACAAAAAAAAGAAAATAGATATTATCCCCACACTCTCCGCTCCCTACACATAAAATTATTCCGTCTTCTGCAAAATAGGCAGAAAAGCTGAAACATTGTCTTCAAGGAAAAAGCCATTAGATGTGACAGACACGTGGACTGAGGTCAGATCTTACCAGGCCTTGGAAGTCATGGTCATGGATAATTCTATGATCAATGAGAAGATATTGGAATGTTTTAAGGAAGGTAACACTAGAGTCTGAATTTCATTTACTAATCTCACTTATTGGGAAGTGTGGTTGACGGGGAAAATCGAAGGCATAAAATCAATGACTTCATAGAATTCTAGGAGAGTCTTACGGTCATTTGAAGCAGTGTGATTAAGTTGGCTTTGGTAAAAATTGCTTCCTATCTGGAGCCAGAACCAAGAGGAGTCACTGATGACTGAAAATGCAGAGTAAAACATGCTTCTATTTAATAATACCAAGAATGCAAACAATGGAGTTTTGAAAGGCAAGAGAGACATGACAAGACTGAAGTTTTCAGGTTTCTATGGATAACAACTGTGATATAAAAATTGAATATTATCAAGTCATCATTTAAAAAAGAGTGTGAAATGCAGGTAATGACAAACATACCTTGTTTTAGAAAGTTAGCAACATAACAACCAATTTTTAAAAAATATTTGTATAAAGAGTACTTAAGTAAAAAGATAAATACTGGAAGAAACTGATATTTCTAAAAGATGACTCAAATTTACTTATATTCTAAAAGCAGTCTAAAATGAGAAAATTATATACAGTAGATGTCATACACACATGCACACACACATACATACATAACTAAATGCATGTACATAAATACATGTAATTAAAATTTTCATATAGAAGAAATAAAAGCAGATGAAGTTTGGGTGTTTGAGTGAAATTATGGATGGAAATATTGAAGAAAATAAATACTTCAAATAGTTAACAATAAGTTAATTGCCAATTAGAAGAATAAAAATAGAACGTTCCCAACTCTAGCAAAAACCTAATAAATGAAAAGAAAATTGAAAAAGAACAAAGCAAACAAAAATACACAAAAATGAGATGCCAGAAAAATATTCTAAAATTATGCCAGTGAATGATTGTGTGAGTGTATTTAATCTACATATTCAAATTCACCTTGGTTAGATGATGTATTTTTTAAAGGCAGGCAATTTGATGTGGTTAGTAGTGAATACGTAGACAGAAGTGTAACAGTACTACTAGAAAATTGAGATATTATTAATGGCATGTGAATGACCATGACCAAAGGTTTTGTATTTTTAGAGCAAACATTTAGGAATGAGTTACTCAATCTTTCTTTTTTAAAATTTTATACAGGGTCTGGCTCTGTCACCCAGGCTGGAGTTGTGCAGTGGCACAATCTTGGCTTACTCCAACCTTTCTTCAGGCTCAAACTATCCTCCCACCTCAGCCTCCAGAGTAGCTGAGACTACAGGCATGCACCACCATAGCCAGCTAGTTTTTGTATTTTTAGTAGAGATAGGTTTTGCCATGTTGCACAGGCTGGTCTTGAACTCCTGGGCTCAAAGTGATTTACCCAGCTCAGCCTCCCAAAGTGCTGGAATTACAGGCATGAACCACTGCGTCTGGCCTGAGTTATTCAATTCTTCATTCCACAAGTACCATTATGTCATCAGGGGAAGATATGGATATTGCTGTAAGCATATTACAATTGTCCTGGAATAATATAATGAACAAAGTATTTGGGATGGAGGCAAAATATTTTATACTGGGGATAATCTAAGAAAAAAATCAACATCATGGGATTGTTTAAATTTTAGCAGTAAAATTGTGGATATTTATAAATCATTCATGTGTTTCTTGTTTAGATTACATGACATAACATTACATTTTTTAGTGATTCCAGAAAGACTATGGTGAAAATGGGTGAGAGAGGCTGCAAGGGGAAATCAGAAGCATATACTTGCCCAGACTGTACAGCAAACAGATATATAAATATCTATTATCTAATGTAATTGTTAGTTTTGACTCAGAATAGAAATCATGGGTAGTGATTCAAATGTGAGAATTGTGGAATTCACCATTCTTTGTTTGCCCAGAGGTATTTGTTCCAACATTGTTCATAATAAAACGTTAGGGTGGGAAACATTAATCCCTAAAGACACAGACCCACAGCTACACTTCTTACATCATATGACACAATCCAGACTAATATAATAATCTCTGTTGGAACTTGGGGCACAAAGGTGGTAAATCATTCCCTTCGCTTCTTAGAAAAACAAAATGAAGTTTCTGTTGCTGCAATCCGAGATCTTCTATTTCCACAAAATATGTAAAATTCTTGTGACTAAGCTCTTCCTTTAATTCTGTAAACTGTTTTCTTTTCTTTTTGCTAGTCATTTTTGCTTTCTTCAGCTGGGAAATAGAAAACTCAATAAATTATTGAAATTGGTTTCAAAGTGCAGGCAGTAGGTGTTATTCTCTCTGGAATATATGATACATTTGGAATTAAATATTGAGTTGCATTTCAGTGAATGGCAATGAACCATGGTTTAAGGAAGCTGATCTGACATTATTAAATAAAACTTATTGAGAAATATACAAGCTCAAATATCAAGTGAGGACTCTGGCTCCAGGTTAAAAGTATATTTGTGATTTTTGAGGCCCAAACACAGGCAATAACAAAGGCTTTAACTGGCAGGCCTCACAGGGAGAGCTGGCTTCCTCACACCAGGGGAGCTGACATGCAGCCAGCTTATTGCAGTCTCTGATGGGAGTTGCAGCCAAAGACTCAGCCACTCCCTCGCCTCCTCCCCTCTGCAAGTCATGGTCTTCCCATATTTGCATTGCTAGCTTGATGCCTCATTCCTCGGACTAGATTCCTTCATATTTGAGGTCTTAGGTAGACATCTTCCCAATGAAAGCAGAATGTATTCTTTGAACTTCATGGATGGCTATAGATGAATTGTGTTTTGTAAGTGTATATGTACATGTCCTAAACATACACACTGTACATGTCCTAAACATACACACTCTACTTACAATGGGATTACATCTTGATAAGTTGAAAGTATTGTAAGTTGAAAATGCATTTAATACACCTAACCTACTGAACATCATAGCTTAGCTTACCTTGCCTTAAGCATGCTCAGAATACTTTCCTTAGCCCTGAGTTGGGCAAAATCATCTAATACAAAACCTATTTCATAATAAAATGTTGACTCTCTCATGAAATTTATTAAATACTGTACTGAACGTGAGAAACAAACTGGTAGTTTGGGTATTCAAAGCACAGTTTCCACTGAATGCACATCACTTTCACTCCATTGTAAAGTTAAAAAATAGGAAATAGAACCATTGTATCTCAAGGACCATCTGTATACACCCCCCCACACACGCACACACCACAAATAAAATTATGCACAAAAAAAACCAGGAAGAAAACCTCTTACTTGGGACCAATATGAAATTGTAAAATAGTTCTGGAAGTTAAAATTACTTGTACATAATTACTATATACTTCTGCTGCATGACCTTTCACACTTTCAGGGATGAGACACTCATTCACAAAAGTTCTGGAGTTATGGTGAATATGCTCTCAGCTTAGTCTGAGAGTCAAAAAGAGAGAGAGCTGCTTCACGTGATGTCATCCTTCTCCAGGGCTGCCAACATGTAATAATGGGTCAATACAGGTTTATACAGGCCCAGGCTAACTGCCTCAAGGCAGGACTGCTGCAACTGCATTGTAGTTTTCTCACTCTGTCCAATTCTACTCCCAGCAATGACTATAATTTTCTAATATCAAGGAACTACCCAATAAACTTTCTGGAGGCAAATCATCTCGGAGACTCAGATCCAAGACAATTGTTGCCAGGAGTGGTTTGAGGAAGCAGTCTAAAGAATGGAGTTTGGGAACTAGGACACCTACTGGCTGGCTGTATCAATGGTAGATAGATCTTGAAAAGTTCAAGGCATGTTGTCATGGTACAATTTTTTTATTGGGACATCAGAGGAAGGGAATACATTGACAGTTACAATAATCCAAGCATTTGATTGGAAAAAACAAATTTTTGCAAAGTAGTAGTTGTAAGGATTATGCAATTGTACAATTGCTGCTGGGGTAAATTTACATACTGGAGAAAAACAATGAGATCTTATTCAACAATAATTGAAAGTGAAGTGTGAAAGAGCTACAGCTTCCTTCACTGTCATCCCCTGCAATCAGAGGGCAGAAGATCAGGTCCAGAATCTATTTTAATGATAAATTACTTAATAGGTAAAATGTACATTATTCAAGTGACGGCTACACTAAAAGCCCAGACTCAAAAAAATAAAAAATAAAAAAAGTTAGGAAAGCTCTAAATAGATTGAAATTTCAACATTGGAAACTCTGCTGTTGTAGTTAGAGATCTGATTGGATGGGTTAAGTAATATCTATCTATGTCTCTCTCTCTCTCTCTCTCTCTCTGTCTCTCTGCTCTCCCCCTCTATCTCCTCCTCAGACAGAGAGGTGTTAACATAGATGTGTGGCCATGTCATTTAAGTTAAACAACCATGCTTTAGTCACAACTGCATGTACTCTTTCATACTTATCACTTCATCAGTTTTTGAGCAGTTGGAAGGCTGCATGCCATGGCACATTGAAACACAGCTACTTCTGAGTACTCGTGTGTTCTCTAAATTATATAGTATGGCTTCTATCTATGTACTCTCCAAATTAGGGAGTAAACGATAGATACATGCTAATTTTTATCAGATAAATATTTCTCTAGAACAATGGACAAAAAAATGTGTGCTGAGGACAGAGCCCAGAAAGCTCAGAGGCAGTGGTTCCCCAAATCATGAAAACCATTTCTGAAATATTAATACAAGTCTAGGTGAAACAAGCTTGAAAGCATGCCATGCCCTCAAATTAAATCCACCTGTCTCCATCCATTTTAGGTATAACTTTTATAACCAGACTTTTTCTATGTTTCAATACCAAATATTTCTATTTGTAATAAGAGAATTAAATTTTCATAACTATTTTACTTACTAATATTGATTCACTCTTTGAAAAGAATATTTTTAAACACTATGTGTCTGAGTTTTACTATTTTCTGTCTTTTCTTAGTCTGGTTGGAGCTTGAGCTCTGGAGTCAGACTGCATGAATTCAAAAGATAGCTCGACTGCTTTTAATAATTGTGTGGGGAAGAGATACCTATGCTCTCTGCATTTCATTTTCCCTATGCATAAAGTGGGGATAATAAAATGCATCTGTGGAAACTCTATAATTCATAGTGGAAGTACAGCAAACTTTTTCATATACTTCTGTGAATTTAAGAAGCAATATAAGGAAATTACAGATTTTCATTTTTATTTTGCTATGGGAAAACCATAAATAAATGTTTATATTTGTTATATGGAAACATAATCCAACAAATAGAACATTATTCTCTTTTAAAAAGCCATTATTTTGTTTACCTTTTCTTCGGAGGTAGTAGATACTTAAATGTTTTCTAATAGCATATGTTTAGTATCGTTTTCAAATTTCCAGTTATGAGAACAACTTGTAGTCCTTTTAAAGACATTCTGCCTACAACTAACAATGGTTGTAAAAGCTGTGTTTATATTTAGTTAGGATAGGATTGAAATACCAGATTCATCAATTCCAAACTAAGATGCTTTGGGCAAAGTTTCATAAACATTTTAAGCATCGATATTTTTTCTTTCCTTTGAATTTTCTTTATTCATTGATATTTTGTCTTTTTTTTCTATTTTCACAGTTAAAATACACAAAAAGACACAACTCATTGAGCTACTTGTAGGAGTAGTAAAAATTTTACAAATATCAGTTATAGTGCTTGACATGTAGTAAATAGTCAAAATATTGGATGCTAATATCCTAGATAACTATTTTCATGGATAAAATTAGTAGGTCAGTTGTGTTCTGTCAAAATTTCTAACATAGCTCTATTGTTTCTATGTGCTTAATTTTGAAAACCAGGTTTTGATGACAGTCCATTTTTGTATTATTATCTTTGATATTTTCCTTTCCAAATCTGAATGTCTTATTCATCTTTATTTTTTTCTGTATCAATTGTCAATATATTTCTTTTTATCATTTTTCTGATGATCAGTCAGTCCTTTCCATGATACATTCATCTTTATAGATTATGATAAGTACATATCGGAAAGGGAATTTGATATGTTATTTAAAGGAAAATCAAACTATTTTTCCTCTATATTCACATTCAACACAGAACACTTCTAACAACAGATATGCAAGTTTTTCCCACACTAACCAATTCTCCAACACCAGCTTGGTGTCCCACACATCACTTCAATTCCAACACTATATACATGGAGTTAGCAGCAGATCCCAGAAGTTAAGGATTCAGTCTTAACAAGACTTTCCCCACTTCAGATGACAATTGGAAGTCCAGACCTTCTGTAGTTCTGACCAAGGGCTCCCACAACTCTCTTGTAAGCTTTTATAATTTGCTAGAATGGCTCGCAGAACTGAAGAAAACAATTTACTTATCATTTACCAGTTGATTAAAAAGGATATGATAAAATATGCAGATACACAACCAGATGTGGAGGTACATATGATGAGGTCAGTAGGGTCCTGAGCACAACAGCTTCTGTTGCTGTAGAGGTGGGGTGTACCCCCTCCCGGCACATGGAGCAACAGCTTCTGTTGCTGTAGAGGTGGGGTGCACCACCCTCCCAGCACATGGATGTACTCAGTGACCTGGAAGCTCAGCCAGTATCATAGTTCAAAAATTTTTATAGAGCTTTCCTATTTTGCACACCACCCTTTTCCTGGAGGTCAGTAAGTGAGGCTGAAAGTTCCAACACTCTCACCACTTGGTCTTTCTGGTGAGCAGTCCCATCCTGAGGCTATCATGGGGCCCTAACCTAATTCATTTCATTAGCATAAACTTAGGTGTGATTAAAAGATGCTAGTTAAGAATAACCACAGACACTCCTATTACTCAGGAAATTCCAAGGGCTTTAGGAAGTTTGTGCCAGGAACCTAGGGACAAAAGCTAAATTATTTCTTAATATACCAAAGACTAACTTGTAGGAGAGTTTCCTACAGATTTAAGACTCTTTGAAGTTTAAAAGTCTTCAAAGAGTTATTTAAAGAGTTATCAATCATATGATGCCAGTTTGCATTAAAAAGCAGTGTATATAAACAATTTTCATCAAGCATGCATTCTTGATGAAATCATTTCCTCCCCCAAAGATTTGTACATTTATTATATTTATATTCCAGAAGATGTAATGTTAGGTTCAGTGTCCCCTTCCCTTTATTTGTTGTCATTTATACATTTTTACATGAAAAGCAAGTATATTTTGGAATATATACTATTTTCCAATCACTGCACTATGTGCTATTATTTTCTTTCAGTTGTAGGAACAGAATCAATAACAAATAGAAGATGCTGAGAGGAGTAAACTCTGTATGATTGCATCCCAGCACCACAGCAACAGGTAAACAGGTTTTTAATTTTCCATTTGATTCAGATGTTAAGTTTCTCTTCTAGAAAAGTGTTTCCAGTTCTATAATTTTGATTATTATAGATAAAAGCCAATGTGCACAATTTATTCATTTACATATGGCATCTTTTAAGAAAGCTAATGGTCACATATATGTCTACGCATGTTATAGACTATTTACTTTTAGAGATTGTAAATTGTAAGTTAAAATTAGAAAAGAAAAATAGAATATAAATTATATTGCCTAAAATTACCTTATAATTTCATTCATTTAATGTATATATTACTGAAAATAAGGCAAATATATTAAAGTATTCTTTTTCTTTTTCTCTCTTTCTTTCTTGCTGTCCTTCTTTTCTTGGTTTTCTGAGATGGTCAAGTTCTAGAATAATTTTTAAAATGTATTCATTTAGGTTATATATATATATATATACACACATATCAAATATTATATATGTGTGTATATGTATATAACCTAAGTGTATACATATATATAAACTAAATATACATATATATAACTTGATTATCACATCATTGACTTTAGCTTTTTGACTGTAGTCTGTCAAATGCAATCATAACAGCAAATTCCTCTATATCTGATCTGTGTTTACTAGGTTTCTTTTGGCACTAGCATTATATGATGCTTCTATAACTCTTGATTAGTATTGACTTGTCCCTGAGTTGTGTGATAAATTCTGTGAGCTTCCAGGGCTGTACACTTCATTTTAATCATGGCCTGGCATTAATCTTTATGAGTGATAAAAATGTGTGCTCTTGGAAAGTAAATTGATTTGAATGCATGCCAACTATTAGGTACTACACAAAATACTTAAAATCTCCAGCTAGTGTTTTTGAGATTTGACGTTATTTTTAAACATATATACCGATATGGTTTAGCTCTGTCCCCACCTACATCTCATCTTGAATTGTAGTTCTCATCATCCCCACATGTGATGGAGGGACCTGGTAGGAGGTAGTTGAATCATGGGGGCGATTACCTCCAGGTTGTTCTCGTGATAGTGAGTGTTCTCACAAAATCTAATGGTTTTATAAGGAGCTCTTCTCCCCCTTCACACTATACTTCTTGCTGCTGCCATGTGAAGAAGGACATATTTGCTTCCCCTTCCACCGTGACTGTAAGTTTCCTGCGGTCTACCCAGCCACACTGAACTGAGTCAGTTAAACCACTTTCCTTTATAAATTACCAAATCTCATGCATGTATTTTATTAGGAACATGAGAACAGACTAATACACATAAGTTGCTGTTTTAAGACATTTTTAACACTAATAAAAGTGATGTTAAATGAGTTTAAATTAACTTTTTAGGTTGAGAAGTGACATATTTTTTATATGAGAGGACACATTGTCATGCATAAGTAAGTGTTTAAATAAGGCTTGGGTTGACATTTTATATTTTGGGCAGACTTTGAATTGAAACTTTACTTTCCATAACACTGAGACACTCTATAGAGAAGGTTATATAGTTAATGGTAAGTGCTTTTTTAATATCCAGGTAAACATTGAAGAAGAAATATAATTGTAATTTGCCGAAATGAAAGTTTCTTTTAACTCTTAGTTCTTTAGCATTTCTAGTTCTTTTTTTTTAAAAAAAAAACTTTTTTAGTTCATTAGCTTTTTTAGTTCTCTTTTAAAAACAAACTTAAAGAAGAGGGAATAGGTGATTTAAAAAACTGCGTTTTTTTGTAAAAACCCCAAACCACAAAACTAACGATGAATAATATGATGGCTTATGAATAAAACAATTTCTCCTCTAACAAGAAATTCATAGTATGGTAGTCTGGAGCAGATTTAGCATTTTTGATGGTATTAGATTTAGAGATCCAGTGTCACATTCTTTTTCTCAGACATCCTTTGTGAAGCTAGTGGCCTTGGCTTCACAAAATACTGACTAACAAGTACCAGGCCAAGGTTGCAAGCAAAAATTAGGGAAGGCTAAAGGGCAAAAAAAACCCTTACACCAGTGAGCCCACTTACATAAAGCTTCATCATAAACACCAAGGAGCCTGCAATATTGCAGCAACCTTAATAAGAAGAGGTCCCAGTCGGGTAGTCTGAGCTCTAACTTTAAAGTATGTTTAAATTGAGGAGCATGAGAAGTTATTATTTTTTAAATGTGTAAATTTACATTACACAAATATCCCTATCATTTAAGTGTCAAGAATAATTACACATTTAGTTATTTAATATAAAAGGATTATTACCAGTAATTCTAATGTCAGTTTTTGTGTGTGTATTCATATATATAGGTCCTGCAAATTTTATAGACCTATATGATTTCATGAATTTGCTTACATTGCTTAACAGTGCAACAATAATTTTTAAAGGTAGGGTTACAGGCCAAGTGTAGGATTTAACACAAAAACAAGTACAATCAATAAAGATTCACTAATAGGTATAATAATGTCTGTGCAGTATGTGAAAAATTTTTTCCCTCATACTCTCTCTTCTATAAAATCTCACTTGCTCTCAGAATAAAACTCTATCAGCATTGTTATCTTGATTTCACAGAAGTTTTATTATTAGCAACCAGCAAATAACCTCAGTTAAGTCAAGGCCTTCGTAGACATATTCTTATAAAGTAATAATTGTTAAAGAGTATTTTAATAGTAATTTCAAATAGTAATTCATAAAGAGAGAAAGTAAGGAAAGAAAAAAGAAAGGGAGAAAGACAGACAAGCAGGCTGGAGGGGCTGAATAGAGGGAGGAAGAAGACAAGAAGATAGATTCATTAATATTTCTTTTTGCAAAATATTTTTGAGCTCTAATATTAGCCAGGTGCATATCTGTGTAATATGGTTCTGGCTGTAAGAATTATTTTTAAGTATTAGAATTAATGAAGTTAGCATTCAAATGAATTGAGAAAATGAACAAAGAAGCCAATAAATGCATGAGATATCAGAAGTTGATAGTACAATAAGGAAAAAACTCAAGGTAAGGAAACAGTGGTAGAATTTTTCTTTTTCTTTTTTTTCAAAGGGAGCATGTGATACATTTTCTGATAATCTGAAAATTAGTGTAGAAGAGAAAATAGTGCTGGAGTAAAACAGTAGGTATTTGGGGGAGGAGCAGCTGCAAAGTCTCTGTGATGAAAATATATTCCCAGAACAGTACAGCGGGAGGGTTGGTGGAGCTATTGGAGGAAGACAGATAGGTAGGGAGAAGGAGTAAAAATGAAGGCCAGAGGAGGGAGCAGAGTTCACACAGGCCACAGTCACATTTCTGGATTTTAATGTGGGTCAAATATGGAGTAAATCATGGTATTTGAGCTGCCATGACCTGTCTCTCTTTCTGATAGCTCTACGGAGAAGAAAGTGAAGAGGAGAATTCTACATTTATATTTATTTTTTTACCATTTTTCTGTGTGCTATTTATCACCATTTTAAATTTTTTGCTTATGTCTATATCTTGTGTCTATTAACATGTAATAAATATTAAAGCAGTTTATTTACACATATGTGTACAAATACACACACATCCACATTGATATTAACAATTTCTTCTTGTCTGTTTCTGGGATTTAAAAGTTTTAAAAAATACTTATTATTTTTATTCACAAATGTTTCCTTCTAGTTTGTCTTATATATTGTCATTACATGCTAATTCAATTTTGGATAGATAATTTAAGACTGTACGTTAAGCATATTTCTCTCTTTAAAATAATTCAATTTTAGAATCATATTAAACTACACAGATATATCATTAATGATAATATACTATAACTTACAAATTTTGGTGTCAAAGTTACAAGCTTTCTTTTATTCTATATATTTTCTTGTACAGTTTTATTTTCTGTTTCTATAGTATATATTTTATTACTTTTCAGTATACATAATTAGCATGCTTTGCATCTTTGCTTACTTTTAAAAGACAATTATCATTAAGCGATAATCATTAATGCTTCTCAGATTAATTATGTAGTCCTGCTGACTCTTCTGCTTCCAAACAGATAGCTCTTTCTAGTATATTTTTGTTTGGAAGGCCCATATGATAAGTTCTATTCAATAAGATGTGAGCAGAAATTTCACATCGCTTCATATCGATACCAATACGAATGCTGGTATTATGTTATCCAGAAGTCTCTATTTTCTTCTGTCATGGCAACCAGCAATGTTTATGATAGTTCCTATGATACTGATGTGAACTGTGAAGTTCTACAGTGAATATTTCCCCATCCTCTCAGTCAGCCCTACAGGGTCATAACTATGAGTTGTAAATTATCCATTGTTGTTTTAAACCATCAAATATTTGAGTATGTAGCGTCATCAATTTCCTTGTGAATAGTATAAAAATTGCTACCTAGAGTCAGGATGCATCTATAAGAACAATCATAAAATATGAGTCACTTTCAGATGAGAAATTTGTTGGAAAAAAGAAAATTATTATAAGAGGACACATGATTTCCACTATAAGGAAGCAAAATATGTAGTACTCAGATAAGATATTAAAAAAACTGAATTTTACTGTTATGGGTTGGCTCCACTTGTCTGTGTTTGAAAAGGTATTATAAGAAAGATAAGATTGAGAAATGGTTAGCTAATTTGCAATTAGAAATGGAAAGAAATAGAAGTACTTCACAAATTTAGTAATTTGTATGGCATGAATAAATTATTGCTTCTCAATCCCAAACAGTCATCCAATTAGCAAAGTCTTTCATCAACAAGGCAGATTAAAACTCAGCTTGCAGCTAAGGTAAAATAGTGGGGTATGGCTGTCACATCCATAACTAGCAACCAAGAAAAGAGATTCAATCATTACCAAGCAAAGCCCTTTAATTGAACTGAAGACTCAAAGCAAATTTGCTAAGTGTTTTGTGATTCCACAGAAGCCTGCTAGGCTTAAATTACTTCCCTTTAAGGAGAGACAGAAGGGGTAGAAAATAGTAGTGGCAGGCGCCTGTAGTCCCAGCTACTCGGAAGGCTGAGGCAGGAGAATGGCGTGAACCTGGGAGGCGGAGCTTGCAGTGAGCCGAGATGGCGCCACTGCACTCCAGCCTGGGCGACAGAGCAAGACTCCGTCTCAAAAAAAAAAAAATAAATAAATAATAAATAAATAAATAATTCCTTTTTGAGTTTTTTAAAATTAAAAAGTGGCTGATCTTGTTTTGTTTTATCTCCTTACTATAAATCAAATTTTATAGCAAATAGAATAAGTGACTGCCATAGATTTCTTCAATAATGTGCACATTTTTGTGTGTACAAATAATTTTCTTAAAGTAGGGTTTAAATTATGGGGCAAATAATTTTGCCGGATTGGCTTTTATCTAAATAAAATAAACAATTAGGAGGTAGGTAATACACAAAACTATAGGTATAAACCTGAAAGTTTAAGAATATTTTCAATTATTTTAAATTTCTGGTTGAAACATCCATTACTTTCAGGATTTAAAAAAATATGTCTTTTTACTGTATTCCACAGTTACTCTCACTATGATTTCTGCCTAACTTTAATATTTTATTAAAGTCTTATTTTCCTGGGCACATCATTATTTTGCTTAGAGAATGTTTAATCGTTAACTTTAACTCAAAGAACCTAACAAGATCTTTAATTAACATTTTGAGCAAGGTCACTATGTATAGCCCAAATGAACTGAAGCTTTTGCTTTAAATAATTACTTCAAGGACTGGCCTGTTTCTCAACCATGTTTCCTATAATTATTGATTCTTTGCAGTAAGGCACTCCGGGGTCTCATGGTGAAGACTGATCTTATCTTTGCAACAGCTCTGTGATTTGCCAGTCCTCGGTTATTACATATTCTATTATGATTGCTCTATTCTGCACTTCACAGGGTTTCAAAATTTTATACAATTTTTATTTATTTATGTTTGAGACAGAGTCTTGCTCTGTCCCCCAGGCTGGAGTGTAAAGGCACGATCACGGCTCACCCAATTATTTTTTAAAGTGTTGCCGTTTTCTGTTTTTCAGAGCTCTTCTAGATTTCTCCTATTTGTTTCTCACCGTGTCTATTATTTTTATTGAGGAAAAGCAATGTAAGTGCTCACCAACTGGATCTATTCTGCTATAGAATTTTAACGACTTTGGATATTGATGCTAACAATATTGAAATGAGTTGAAAGACCCTTTAGTGTAATTGGGCTATATTTTCCTTCACCTACCACCCAAGATAACTCACCTTCAGTTAGCTGTCTTTAGAATCTTAAAATCAAAGCTATGTGCAAGGACCTAGTGTTAGAACCTCCACATAGTGGGATAATCAAAGCAGGAAAGTTCAATTTCAAGAGATAGGACTTAAGTCTTATTAATGTAATGGAGGTTTAAGGTGCGATGTTTTATCCTTCCTCAGATAAATCAGAATTACAATTAAAATTTTTCATTTTTTCCATCTATTTCATTTCTGGAGGATCTTAAACACTTAGTAGAGACCATATTCACTAAATCCAGATGTATAACCTCCTGAAAACTCTAAAAGTTTGAAAGATTCCCTTTTTCCCTGCATTCATGCCAATCCCCATGTGAGTGCTCTATTTCCTCCATTGTTCCCATCCCTTAATAAAACCCTGTATGTGCACGAACATTATGTTTGGCCAGTCTCTATTAACTGCCAATAACTGGGTGAATAGGGCAAGACTTATACTGACAGATTTTTCAGAAGGACTTTATGTGTGGAGGTCTAGTTCTCCAGAAAACTTCAATTAAAAAATATGCAGACAACTATAGAAATGGCAGATATCACCATAAAGATGAAAGGCACATACGTATGTTCACCAGGGAAATAATTATAATGAAACCTCAGAATTAAATGGACAGAGAAAATAATAAGCTGAAGTTAGAGTAGTGGTGACAGGACCAAAGAATGAAATAGCAAATAAAGGAATGACCCCAGATGGTTATTCTTACAAGTCAAGATTATAAGTCAGAGAGTTAGTACTAAGGTTGAAACAAAATTGGAATATGAAAGCCTAGTTTTGTTCAGTATCTGGACTATGAGTAAATTACTAAATGTCTCTGAATTTGTTTAAACTACAATTACAAATATTTCTAATTCAATGTTCTTTGATAAAAATCAATAAATTTTAAGAACAAGTATGTCTTGGGTACTATGAAGGTAAAACATTTGTGAAATCCCTTGCAAAAAAATTGTTGCGTAAGAGATATGACCAATTGTTTGGATTATTTCAGTATAACTAAATCAGAATTTTGGAAATCTTACAATTCCAAAAAGATACTTCTATGCATCTAATCTATTTTCTTTTCTTTTCTTTTCTTTTTTTTTTTTTTTTTTTTTTGAGACGGAGTCTCACTCTGTCACCCAGGCTGGAGTGCAGTGGCATGATCTCGGCTCACTGCAAGCTCTGCCTCCCGGGTTCACGCCATTCTCATGCTTCAGCCTCCCGAGTAGCTGGGACTACAGGTGCCTGCCACCGCACTTGGCTAATTTTTTGTATTTTTAGTAGAAACGGGGTTTCACCATGTTAGCCAAGATGGTCTCGATCTCCTGACCTCGTGATCCGCCCTCCTCGGCCTCCCAAAGTGCTGGGATTACAGGCGTGAGCCACCGCACCCGGCGCATCTAAGTTATTTTCAGCCATGACACTTGTCAATATAAAATTGTTACTGACAACCAGTTTTTTATTTGACCTCTTATTTCTTAGGGTTAATAAAACATCTTTACCATGCCATTCAAAACAATTGCATACACCATGCAGAATAAACTCTAAATGAAATGGCAGGACCCGCTAGCCTTATCAAAAATCGGATAACTTTGACATTAGTAGCAGTCACCAGTTAACTAGGTCAGGTTCTAAAAGAAAAATAAAGTGGAAACAAAAATTGCTCAATTTTTTATGTCAGTTGAAATATTAAATTTGATTGACAGAGGCAGCAAATTCAGAGTAGTTCAATAAATGGAATTGTCTGACATGACCCAGAGTGCTCACTGTAAGTTGCCTGGAAAATAAGCTATCAGTAGTAAGGGAATGCCCCCTCCTCCCAGCAGGAGCTGCACCTAAGATAATCTTGCATGGGATTTTTGGTTAACCCCCATCATATATGCCACTCACCGTCAGTGGAGCTCTAAGATCACAATGTTGCTCCCGGTCTCCAGGGACAGATCAGCTGGTGTTTTCAGACAACTTTTAAATAATTGGCACCTTAGAGTTCTAGGTGTCAGGCAGTTTAGTTTTTACACCTCTTAGCAAAATTGTTTCCTAGTTTGTGCCAAAAACAATATGGAATATATGGGACAATATGGGTGGAGAGTGGTCCCTTCACTCGAATCAAGATCCAAACCATAAATCTACCTCTACTCTGGCTCCAAGGTATGGAATGATAAGAGAATAGGAAGACTTTTGTCCTGACTCCTTTCTTTACTGACCATCAATTTGTGAGTTTTCTTTCCTCAGTAAAGCCCCTTCATTAACCAATGCCATGTCTCAGTTGAAGTCTATCCCAGACCTTAGTGCATGGCATATGAAGACTCATAGGGATAATAACAACACTCAATGCATACATACAGACACACAGACACACACACCCACACACAAACACACAATTTAGCTGATTATATTTTGATGCATGCATGAGAACTTCGGGATATTTTCTTGAACTCAACATAATAGTAGATAAAAATTTTGAATTTTCCTTTTTGCCATGACGTGCAGAAAAGAAAGGAGTCAGATATATGAACCAATAAATTATGAAAATTCTTTAACTTCCCCACAGAAACACATAAATGAAAAAATAGAAGCTTGTTATTTGGACCTTTTCAAATATCCATGATTCAGATTTTGAAGATTAAAATAACACATCAGTATCTTTATATCTATCCATATACTCACCTACTATATGTATATACACTTATAGTAAATACTATATAAATAGTAAGTGAATATACACACATGTACATATACACACATATATACACAAATATAAAGGTTTACGTATAATCCAAGTGACATATGTATTTTTAAATATTTTTGAATTTGTATATAAATTTATGAGATATATTTCTGCTAGTTTCATATTATGTTGCATTTCAATATTAATATTGTTAATTTATTTTAGCGATTGTCTATAGTATAAAGTTATGCTAACACAGTTGTATTGAATAATATTGGACTCAAATTAAGCTGATTTTAGATCTATTTATTACTTTTTTCCAAACAGAATTTTCACTACACAACTGTGGCTATTCCTCATATGATTTCTGAAGTAATTTGAACATTCTTTTATATAAATACTAATAAGTGCATAAAATATATTTTTATAAGGTCATAAAAAGAGAGTATTAGTCAAAGAGTACAAAGTTTCAGTTAGACTGGAAGAAAAAGTTTTAATGATTTTTTCCTCTGCATGTTGAACACAGTAATAATGTATTATATATTTTTAAGTTACTAAAATTATATATTTCTAAGGGTCTCACCACAAAAAATAAGTTGTTGAGATGATGCATATGTAATTAGCTTGACTGAATCTTTCTACAATGTGTACATAGATCAAAACACCACATTTTACCCTGTAAATATACACGATTATTTTTCAATTAAAAATAAATAAGTAAACAAATAATTAAAAAAGAGCATTTGTGTTAATAACAATATTTATTCTTGTTGAATCTGGGCTTAAAATTTTGACTTAAAGACATTCAAATATAGGTTTTAAACATCTGAGATTTACATATTATAGTAAACTAAACAAATTACTGACAAAAAAAGTCCTGGGCTATATTCCTGACAATGTAGGAAACTTAAAATTATTTTCTTAATTTACTTATGATTGAAACATGTGGTAAACTTTTAGATATGCTGAATGCAAGATTTTCAACAGTGTACTGTTTCTCAGAAACACACATTCTATAAGTGAAATTGGTATCTTATTGAGTCTAGGGTTTTATTATATGGCTGCTTCATGAGTCTCCATGCCTTATAGTAAGGGTTTATTAATTCATATGGGTAAGAATTCAAGAATTCATACTACATGTTTATTTCTAAGTACATGCTTCTAGCAAATCCTCTTAAATGAAATGTTTGAAGTTGGAAAGCTGAAGTGTTGCTTAAATAACTTAGTTAAAATAAGTACAATTACATCTTTAAATTAATAGAATTTGGCAGTCCAAGTGTTTATTTTGTATTATGTTAAATATAAACTGAAACCCAGAAAGTTTATGTGATTCGTGATGTTAGACAAAAACTTAAATCCAGAGTTTTCACTTCTCAGAGTTCTTTTAAAATGTTAATAAAGTGATATTTCAAAATGTAAATGCCCCAGTAATAGAATAAACCTGACTACATGTATAAATTGTGTCTTATGTTGTCTTTTGATAGGTTCTTGAAAATGTATAATTTTGTACATTATCTGGATTATTATGCATACTGTGGGAAAAAGCTCCTCTTCTACATCCAAGTCAAAGCTTAAGGTTCATAAATTCTTGGCAGACAAAAATAACAATGGATATATTCTCAGTTAGAAAGTGAGATAATTTGTCTTATTTCAAGACAGAAAAACATTCGTGACAATAGCCCATATCCATGCTCTCCACAAGGTGATGAATTGTCGAGTCTAAGAATATTCTACAACTCTAATATAAATAATCGAAGCTCAAATCTTTCATGTCAAAGTTATTGTGCATTCCTTTGGGTGGGTATTTTTGAAATTCTGTGTTTTACTTGGTAAGTATACTGGACCAGATGGTGATGTCAGTGAAAATGGTGAAGTAAGAAGCTCTAGAATTCTGTGATCAATAAAATCAATGTGAAAACCAGCAAAATTGTCAGAAACAATGTTTTCAGAGCTATTAAATTTAATCAAAGATTTTTTATAATAGAGGGAGAATTTCCTCAAGAGAAATTGCAGAATCTTGGTAAGAACTGTGAGATTTGTGGTATTTTAGCTTACCCTATTTTCATTCCACTTACTGTTTCTGTAGTAGGCTTGAAAATCAGCAATCTGCAAACATGGTGAAAATCCTTGTGCTGGCAACCATGGGAGGTGTCAAAACAAGGTTCAATTACACACAATAGGACTGCTATTATGTTGCTTGCCTGTTAGGTCCCTGGAAGATCTCATTTGCAAAACTGTCATTATTTGGTTTAATTTGGAAGTAACCCAGTACAAAAAGCTGTTTCTTCCAGGGGCATTTGTAAAAAAAAAGTTTATATGTATGTGTGTGTGTGTGCACACACACATATATATGTATATATATATATATATATAGAGAGAGAGAGAGAGAGAGGCAATTATTTAACTTTGCAGCTTGCTGACGATATCGATAACAGTTGGAGCAAACAGTAGACTAACTAAAAGGCTAAAAAGTAAAATCTGGAGGATGAGATGTCTATATAAACTTTGAAAAACTCTGATGTATTCCTGGGAATCTATATGGCCACATGCATGCACAGGACTGAGTACATGCCCAAGGCTCTCTGTCCATGCTTATAACAGACCTAGGAAAACAGTAAGCTCTCACCTCTGGCTTACCTTGAGTCTTCATATAAGCAGGAAATGAGGGCTAAGACAGAATTGTCAGACATTTAATTGAGTGTTGAAGACAAGCTTGAAGACACACACAAAGCACCTCAGCAAAGATTAGGAGAATATTGGTTCTACACATTTAACCAAATTTCTGTCCAATAATTTACAGTCCACTAAGCTACTGAGCATAGATGTAAATGATCACATGTAAAAAATAACGTAGTCTTTGCAGAATTATTCAGTAATTAAAAAAAAAAGCAAAAAACAAAAACAAAAACAAAACCCAACAACAACAACCACCAACATTGTTAAGGGCATATGAAGAAGACCGAAATAGGTCAGGCACGGTGATTCATGCCTGTAATTCCAGCACTTTGGGAGGCCAAGGCAGGAGGATTTCTTGAGGCCAGGAGTTTTAAACAATCCTGTGCAACATAGTGAGACCCAGTCTTCATAAAAAAAATAAAAATAAAAAGATAATTAGTCGGGGCTGGTGGCACGTACCTGTAGTCCTAGTTATGAGGGGGGCTGAGGGAGGAAGATCACTTGAGCTCAGAAGTTCGAGGCTACAGTGAGCTGGAGAAGCACCACTGCACTCCAGCCCGAGTGACAGAGCAAGACCCTGTCTCAAGGAAACAAACAAATAAAAAGCCTAAATCAATGGAAAGGATTACAATTTTATGAATTGGAAGTCTTAATATTTTTAAGATAGTTAAATTTCTTTGATCTATAGATTTATTGCAGTTCTATTAACAACCCTGATGTATTTCTATAGGAATTGAGAAGCAGATTTTTAAATTTATATGGAGATGCAAAGGACTTAAGCAGCCAAAACAAACTTTTTTATTATTATTTTTTTTTAGAATAGAGTTGGAGAACTCATATTTCCTGATTTCAAAATTTACTACAGACCTACAATAACCAATATACTGTAGTACTGGTAGAAAGATAAACAAATAAATCAATTGAATAGAATTAAGAGTCCAGAATATTCTCTAAATATTTACTGAAAATTAATTTTTGACAGGGTGTCAAAACAATTCAATAGAGAAAGGATAGTTCTTTAAAATGGTTTGGTATGACTGGATATCTGCATACAAAAAAGTAAAACTGGATTTTTATTTCACGCTATATATGGAAATTAATTTTAAAAAGACCAGTGCCCTAAATATGTGCTAGAACCAGAAAGTCTTAGAAGAATACATAAAGAACAATCCTTATGATCTTGGATATAACAATAGATGCTCAGATATGATACATAAAGCAAGATTAACAACGAAAACAGATAAACTGAATTTCATCTTATAGTATTTTAAGATTATGACGTCTTCATTTAATTCCAATAAATAAGAGTGGGATTACTAGGTTATATGGTAAACATATGATGAAACACATTTTTGTATTGTAAGTATATGACTGTGTGTTAAGTATATAATTATATGTAAACCCATTTGTTTTCTTAAGTGGTTGCACAATTTTGTGTGTCCACCAGTATTATATAAAAATCCCAGATGCTCTGAATCCAGACCAGCACTGTGTATTTTTACTTCTTAGCTGTCGTTTTTGTTGAATCCCCAACTGAGAAGTGTGTGAAGTTTCACTGTACTTGTAAATGCACAAAACACAATCACACATAACTCAAAGTTTTATCCTCCTTCGAAATGTAAACTCATAGGGAGATGACTCTCTACTTCCCTCCGGAGGTCACAAATTTAACTTTTATCAGTGTATCCCATAACTTTCATGACAATTGTCCCTAATGCAGTATGTAAGCACCTGTTTCTGAAGGAAAAACAAGTTTTGTTATCCTTTGGACAAAAGTAAATGTTCTAAAAGGAGGCAATTAGTTGTAAGCCTAAAAATGATGACATGTGAGTAAAGAAATGCTTCTGGGAAAACAAATGCAAATATCGTCTATCTTTATAAGATTTACATTTCATCACTAAAGAGGCCGGAATTTTCTAAGAACACTATGACTTTCAGCAAAAGTGTGTTGTCCTAGTTTTTTTACAGAAGGCTTTCATCAGTTTGCAGAAGTTCCCTTCTATTACTAGTTTTCAGGCAGCATTCATCACGAATATATACCGAGTTTCAGCCAAAGCTTCTACTACGTACAGTGTGATGGCATGATTTTGGTTTGGTTTTGTTTTATAACATGTTCTTATGGTAACATTGGTTACTTTTCAATATTGAAACCTGAGATAAACCACAATTGATCACACTGGAAGTTTGTCAATATGTATTTCTGGATTTGATTTAAAAGTATTTTGTAAAGAAATATTTTGTGACTGTATTCATCAAAGTTATTGTTCTACAGTTTTTAAAATATATAGACAGGTATTGTCTTTATCTGGTTTTGGTATAATAATGTTGGATTTATAAAATGAGATGGAAATATTTTGCTTTTCTTTTACTTTTGGAAGAGTTTATATAAAACTGGTATAATTTGTTCCCATATGATTTGTATATATTGCTAGTGAAGTCATTTGTACCTGGGATTTTTATCATTCTAGAATATTATATTTTTCTTCTCTAATAGAAACATGTATGTTGTAAATATCTCTTTAAGCATTGCTTTATCTGTATCCCCAAAATATTACATCATATGTTTATTTTCATTTAATTCCAAGTGTTTTTTTATTTCTCTCAAGATTTTTTCTGGGGTTTATGATATATTTAGAAGTATACTGATAATATCCAATTAATAATTTTATAAGCACATGATATGATTGATTTTTAATTCAATCATGATCCAAAAACATAGTTTGTAGATTTCTATTATAATAAATTCTTTGAGATTTTATATACCAGAATATAAATTATATTGATAAGTATTCCACATGAACTTGAAAGGGAGTTGTATTCTGATATTTGCTAGGGTATGCTGCTTATATCAACTAGGACAAATTTTTAACACTGTTTTTCAAACACTGTTTACCAATTCCCAGTCTATATATTGCAGTAATTACTGAGAGAGGTTTGTTGAATTTCCTAAATATAAAGGTGGATTCTTATATTTCACATTTTACTCTTATTAGTTTTTATCTTATAGTATTTTAAGATTGTGATGTCTTCTCTTTTTGGTGAGATTTTATGTACCAAATTCTACTTTGATAGTAATATAGCCAATTAATTTTTCTACAAATTTGTCTTAGAATGGCATAGGTATTTTAATTACTTTGCTTTAAACTTATCACATCTTTATATAAAAATAGGTATATGGGTAAAAAATTAAAGTTATACAAAGTGACAAAGTTCTAGAGATGTGTTGTATAACATTGTTCCTATAGTTAATAAGTTATTGTATACTTAAAATTCTGTAAAAAAAAATGGGTCTCATCTTAAATGTTCTTACCACAAACAAATCAACAAAACAAAATAGAAAACACAGTTGTTCAGGGAGGCCAGTCTTTTTGTTCTAGTCAGGCCTTTTACTGATTAAAAGAGGTTCTCCCACATGAAAGGCAGTCTGCTTATTCAAATGTCACCAATTTAAATGTAAATTTCATCAAAAGAAACCCTCCATGTTGACACAAAATTAACCACCATATCTGCTTTCTCATCCACCAGAGATCACTGAGTTTCTTTTACTTTTCCCCAAACTTTATTATTTATTTGTTTTTACTTAAAATAATTTCTTTTCATTTATTCTCAACTATACTGACCTTTTATTCTGCTATATGTAAAGTACCATTTAGTTTAGCCAGTGAACTTAGATTTTCCATAATCAAATTTCTAAGAGTAGAACCTCTAAATTGATAGAAAAAAAAGAACTTTGATAACTTAGATTATATTCTAAATTGCAAGTAAATTATATTGTAGGTATGTAAGAATAGAAAGGAAACAATATGTTTATATAAATGTGAAATAAATTGTTTTTCAGCTATCTGCTGCACCACTTACCTTTTTCCCAAAGTAATCATTACTCTTCTTGCATAGAAATAATTAAATCAAATGGTAAAATTTAAACACTATAATTTTGAAATTATATTTACCTACAAGAGTTTTAAAATACTCACTATTCCTTAAAATACTCACTACTCTTCCAATAATTATTCCTTCATGATTGTGTTTTTCCAACTCAACATTGTGTTAATCTATATCAAATAACTAAGTTATTGGCTTTGATTTAGAATGTCTGTATGGCTTTCTCCCAAAAAAGCACTCTGTGATTTTTTTTTCTTTTTGCTTTACTCAATAAATTCTGATGAATTTATATAAAAGCATTGCTATTTATCCTGAGAATCAGAAAGAGATTGTCTATGTTAATTATGCCCTTGAATGACTAATGCATAATATCAAATAGGTGAAGAACAAAAAATGAGGAACAATAAATAAAGAAGTCATGTGAGTTTTAAAAGACTTCTTTAAACTACTAAAAGTAATTTGCCACTCACCACAAAATAGCCTGATGAACACTTCTAAAATTAATAGTGAGCAAAAATGTTTTTAAAAGTGCTAAGTGTTCTCTACAGGAACTACATAATAGAATAAAAATTACCCCAAAGACTTATAACAGTAAAGCATAAAAGAGTAATTTAATTTGGATTTTCTTTCTGATATCAGTTAGAATGATATTTGATTATAATTAAAAACTTAAAAAAATACTTTTTAGGGGAATCAGAATTATAATATATTTAGTGGTTTGCCATTTCTCAGACTATGGATTCCCACAGTTCTTCTGCACAACAATCAGATTAAGTCAATGATAAATATGCTAACATGAGAAATCAGCTAAAAACTTATCAAGTAAATGATCTATGGAGAAATATGACAAATTTGCCAAGAAAACTTTCTCACAAATCCTTGTAATTTTTAAAGAAGACAACCATATTTTAAATTAATAGTTAATGAGTATCAATTTACTTTTGAACATCAGTCAAAAGCTTTTGAGAATTATAATAGTACATTACTGCTGTATGGTTAGGGAGAAAATAGTGTATCGAAATCACTGAGAGGCATTTATTTATTTATTTATTTATGCAGGCATGCTTACTCAGGTCCAGTTTATATACAGTCTGCTAAAATTTGTGAAGAAGATTTCCATTAAGTCAAAGAGGAGTGTAATTCTCTCAACTCTTTCTACAAGACCAGCATTACCCTAATATCAAAACCAGATAAGGGCACACACAGACACACAAACACAGACACAAACACACAAACACACACACACACACAAATAAAACTAGATGCCAATATCCCTGACAAACATAGACATAAAAATCCTCAACAAAATACTAATATACTGAATTCAGCAGGACATCAAAATGATAATTCACTATGATCAAGTGAGTTTTATTCCAGGGATGCAAGCATAGTTCAACACATGCAAGTCAATAAACATAATATATAACACTAATAAAATGAAAGATGAAAACCAAATGATCATCTCAATAGAAGTAGACAAATACCATTTGATAAAATACATTTATTCATGATAAAAACTCTAAACAAACTAGGCATAGTTGAACCATCGCTCTACATAATAAAAGCCATATAAAACAAACCCACAGCCAACATCATGCTAAAGGGGGTTAAAGCTAGAAGCCTTTCCCTTAAGAACTAGAATAAAATAAAGATGTCCACTTTCACCACTCCTATTCGACATAGTACTGGAAATCCTAGCCAGAGCAATCAGGCAAGAAAAATATATAAAAGTCATCAACATGGGAAAAGAAGTTAAATTTTTCCTCTTTGCAGATGATATATCTAGAAAATCCTAAAGACTCCATCAGAATACTCTTAGACCTGATAAGTAAATTCAGATCTGGTAAATTCAGCAAATACTTCATATACAAATTATTGTATTTTTCAAGATACAAAAGTAACATAAAAGAGCTGCAGCATTTCTAAACACTGACAATGAAAGAAGCAAGAAAAAAAATCAAGAAGGCAATTCCACTTACAACTGCTACCAAAAAAACAAAAAATACCTAGTAATAAATTTAACCAAGAAGGTAAAATACTTCTACAAGGACAACTACAAACACCAAAGAAAAAAGTTGAATAGGACACAAACAAATAGATAGGCATTCCATGCTCATGAATTAGAAAAATTAATATCATTAAAATGACCACTCTATCTAAAGAAATCTGCAGATTCAATGTAATCCCTATAAAAGCATTAACATCAATTTTCACAGAAATAGAAGAAATAATCTTAAAATTCTCATGGAAAAACAACAACCAAAAGCCAAATACCCAAAGCAATCCTGAGCCAAAGAAATAAAGCTGAAAACGTTGCACTATCTGATTTCAAATTGTACTACAAGGCTACATTAACTAAAACAGCATAGTATTGGTTTAAAAACAGACACATAGACCAATGGAATAAAATAGAGAACTCAGAAATAAAAACACATACTTACGGCCAATTGACTTTTGACAAAGGAGTTAAAACATACAACAAGGAAATGACACCTTCTTAAACAAATGGTAGTCTGGTGTGGTAAAACCACTGGAGTTTTCTGGTAGTGAGTTGAATGATATTATTTGACACAGAATTTTAAAGAACCCATTTGTTGCTATATAGAAAAACAATCTATGTGAAATTGGGCAGGGATGAAGTCAAGGAGAGTACTTCTGTAGTAGTCCAAAATGAGAATTCGGGGTAAAATAGTAGAAGTGGTAGGGGATAATGAGTTCAAAATATATATTTTAGGTACCTTGAAATGTTTTGTAATTGATTGCATAAAGTATATACGAGAAAGGAGGAGTCACGAACGGCTGTAGTTTATTTAATTTGAGCAACAACAAAGTAAATTGTGGGGTCAATTATTAAGACGGGTGACAAATATAGAAGTAGCATATTACGAGGTATATTCAAAGGTTGTTTTAGACAATTATATTTTGCATTGTTGATTTGGGAAGAGTAATTAACAAATTGTCAGAAAAGCAAAATATATGAAAATCTGTACCAAGACATGTCAATATCACAATTCTGTTTATTTGGTATTTTTACAGTGATGATCTTAAAAAAAATAATTTCCACAAAAAGGATTTTATTTGTTGTGACTGACTTCTTCATCTCATAAACCCTTAATAATTTTAATTTGCTATTTTCAGGTTTATTTTTCTATCAAAATATTTGTGTGAAGGTCATATAAATACCAGAAATTATCAACCCAGAAATAAGAAGCATAATTTTGCATGTAGCTTATATAGGCTACTTTGAAAATAAAAATGCTCAAATATTAATTTTATAGCCTATTATCTCTTTTTGTTAATGTAATTTAATATCACCACATTATTAGTATATTGGAAAAATGGAAACATTAGTTGTGAACTCCATAGACCAAGCACTCAATATTTCACTTCTTTTAGACGACAATGACAGTTGTTCAACATCCCCATCTACATCTATTGTAAAGGATCCATGGGCTTTGCTCAGGCAGCAACCTAGCCAGTCCCAGGGGAAGAATCATGATTTGTCTAATTCATTTAAATTTATCCAGCAATTCTTGTAATTGGGAGGAGAGAAGGGAAAGGAGATTAGCAACAGAACCCAATAATGCCTAACAAGATATTGTGCCAAGGTTACTGCTTTCTTGCTCTTTGCTAGCTTGAGATTCCCCAGGGAAGTTTCTCTGGCTCTTTTTTTTTTTTTTTTTTTTTTCTCTGTAAGATACTTAGAAGTAATCTGGGCCTGGAACAGAGGAAATTATTCTCCAAGTTTTTGTCTCACCTGTGCTTTGTGTCCTGCAGTGCCTACAAATGTGGGAATTTTCTCCAGTTTGAAAGTAAAAATTATCAAGCTCCTGCTTCTCATTTCCTATGGGCAAGCACTTACATTCAGCAATGCTTATTGACTAATTCTTCATCCACTTTTTATATTTCCAAAGTTGTTGGCATTCTTTGTCTATTGTTAGCTCCCATCTAGTATAATTTTCCCATATGTTTTTACAACATTGATTATATATTTGCATTTTGATACAGTTTTGGGAGAAGAAAGATTTTAAAATATTTGATTTCAAACTAAATATTTAATTAGAAGTACCTATTGAATATTATTTATGAAATATTCAGTGAGTTGGCAAAAAAAGCTAATAAACTAATAACCCAAAACACTGTTACTGTACATGGAAAGCTATTTTTTAAAGTTAGACATTCTCAAAATAGTAATGTTCAGACTATCTTAATGGTATAATTTAATCACGTATTACAGGTAACAAACCATGGAATATCATGTAATAAATCATTAATGGGATTTTATCTGTTTCACTGATTTCAATTTCTAGAACTCATTGTGCATTTTTTTCCATGATTTCTTTTTAAAGCATTAGGAAATAAAAGTGTTTGCCAGAAAAGGATATGAAATGTTGGATGGCACTGTTGGTCTCATTTCAATTTTGAATACTCTATTGTATTTATGTGATTTGTGAACTGCATCTATATTGGAAATTAAAATGGAAGCATTTTGGCAAAAAGGTTTGATTCTTTTATAAAAGTCTGCATGTATAACTTAAATTAGAATTTGGTGACCAGGCCAAGACAGAATACAAAATGGGATTACTTATGAACTTTAAGTGAACCAAGAATGCTGATGTAAAAGGTCAATTAAAATAATGCATGTTATGGAATCTGTTGCTGTGAAAATGCAGGTGTCACATAAGATTCATTCTAGGTGAAATAGCGGTGGATTTTTACTGCTTCTAGAGGAAAAACTGGCAAATTTTCTAGTAACATCGCATGCCAAACATCACAAGTTTGAGTGGTACAATCTATAGCTGTGATGCAGGATTTTTCTTGGCCCCATCCTTAAACTCACAGCAGGGGTGCCCCCTCTACTCAGCCTGCTGCACTCATCCCCTTGCAGGAGGGAGCACATGAGTGAGTTAAGTGCAGGACCTGGCTGGCCTCTCCAGGTGCCAACACAGGAGCAAGCTCCATGCGGGGCCCATAGCCAGACCAGGTGTGTCACCTCGAGGGGAATGCAGTGGCACCCAGATGAGGATGCTCGGCACCCAGAAGCCCTAGAGTGGGTATTACAGTGCTCTTTTAGTTCTGCCGTTCACGGTCTGATGGACGGCAGTGTTTTAGCAGCTCAGTTGGTCCCTTGCCTCGTTGCGTGGGGTGGCGGCCCTCTGCCTGCAAGGGCAAAGGGCCAGTGTGAAAGCCTTTTCTAGGTAGCTGTACTTTGTGGGTCGCGAGCTCTTGTCCAGCATCCAAGAAGAATAGAAGTCACTTGGATAATTGAAGGCTGGTGAAGGCAGATAATTTTATTGAGTGATGAAACGGCTCTCAGCAGAGAGGGGAGCTAGAGAGGGGAGCTAGAGAGGAGAGCTGGAGAGAGCACAGGAGGGGCAGTTCATCTTTTCCGAAGTCAAGTTGTTTCTTTCCGGAGTCAGGCCGTCTCCCCCTCTACCAACTGAGTCTGGGATCTTTATAGGCACAGGAAGAGGAGTGTGTACTGATTGGCTTGTGAGTATGCAAAAAAAGGTTAAAGCAAAGCCACCACTCAAAGGTGGGCATGACAATGTAGAAAACCAATTAGGAAAGGGTAGATATATGTAAAATAGGTGAAGGGTGGGGATCAATCAGAGGAATGTGTGCCAAACAGGAGGACACGTTCTCAATCCAGTCTAAGGATTTACTTCTAGTTTGGCTTTCAGGCTTTAAACTGTCTTCGGCTTAGAGGTGGGGTTTCACTGGGCACCTGCCCCTTACCTGCCTAGGCATTTGGCTGCCTTCTGTCACTACCAGCTGCACTGTTTTTTCTAAAAAAAACAAAAACAAACAACAACAAAAAAAACAAGCACACAAAAATCTTAAAATTCTTTAGTAAGAACTAGTACTAGACACATTATTATTATTAATAAAGAGGATACATATGTTGTTACTAATAAATACTTATAGGAATAGTTAATAATGGCTGGGCACAGTGGCTCACACCTATAATCCCAGCGCTTTGGGAGGCCTAGGCAGGAGGATCATGAGGTCAGAAGATCGAGACCATCCTGGCTAACATGGTGAAACCCCGTCTCTACCAAAAATAAAAAAAATTAGCCGGACGTGGTGCCGGGTGCCTGTAGTCCCAGCTGCTCAGGAGGCTGAGGCAGGAGAATGGCCTGAACCCGGAAGGCGGAGCTTACAGTGAGCCGAGATGGTGTCACTGCATTCCAGCCTAGGCGACAGAGTGAGACTCAGTCTCAAAAAAAAAGAAAAAAAAAAGGAATAGTTAGTAATATTAATGATAAAAATATTTAAAATAATCTGGTATTGCTGATATCACTACCCCATATATTACTTGTGCCTGAGTCAGTTTTGTAGGCTCTGTTTAAATTACAGGGGAGAAAACAACATAAAATGATCTTCTTCCTCTAAGTCCATCAGATAAAGACCCCACAGAGGTCAGAAGTTGACAAGTGTCACTTTGCACACTTGTTTCTCTTTCTCTTCTTGGTTATTTTCTCCTCTCTATAATAATTCAAGATAATACATTGCTAATGGGTGCCCAGTCCTTTAATTTGTGTGCTTTTAAGAACCTTACACCTAACAGTCCCCAGACAGGGGATAATTCTTCAGATGCTAATAAAATCAAATATTTTCCATTAAATTGAAGGGGAAATGTCACTTAGTTATCTAAAGAACATAGAAATAATTAATGGGATAGATTTTTATGGACCATGACTTTGAAATACCTTGAAAACTTTAATGGAAATTCTTGTCTTCAAAATTTTAGTCAAATAGGTAATCAAATGATGTGCAGCCTCAGAGGAATCAAAAAACAATATACACAAGAAGCACACACAAACAAGAAACTCTGATGTTTGTAAAGATCTGAATGACTACCATGCAAACCTCTGTGTACAGTCTGGATACTGGTTATCATCCAGAGCTGGTGCAGATCAAGAATGATCTGGTTTATTTACTTGCATGTTTTCATGTCTCCGCCGACATATTCTATATTTTCAATCATTATTTTTTCTTCATTTTTTTCTAAACATATTTATAGTAGCTGCCTGAAATTCAATGTTAGCTACATGCTGGGTTCTGTGGACTGCATATGGGATATGTGTCATGTTCCTGTTTCTCTTCAAGTCTGGCATTTTATATTGCTTGCCTACTCTTTATTGCATAAAAAGTTTTAGATCTTTGCATTTTGTTATATTTATATGAATAGGTTTGAGTTTATGTTGTAGATTTCAACTTAGTTACTTGCTGTTCATTCTGAGCTTGTGCATTTGTGATTGGATGATGATTGGAAAGCCTCATATTTGACCCCCCAGGCAATTCCAAATGGGTGGGATCCTACATATAAACTCTGTTTCCTTCTCAGTTCCTTATGTGGTAAAATTTTGTACTTTGTCAGGGTGGACATAGTTTAAAACTTACTACAGGTCATGTACCTTATCCAAAGTTAAGGCCTTTCTAGTGTCTAAGCTGAAGGCTTTGAGTATTAACAAAGTATGAGAATGGAATAATTTCTGCTGATCTTCAACACCCTATAGAACTTTTCAGTCACTAGTATCCTTGTTCTTCTCTCAAATCCACAGAACCCATGCTCTGTAAGCTATAGATAGGCTCTTCTGAAGCCCTTATTCAGACTCAGAGTGGGTCCTGGTTTTCCCTGCTGCATAAGTTATTTTCCCAATCTAAAAGTCTCAGGGATTACAGTTGCTTCACCTATCCTGAAAATGTTCCTTGCTTTCTCACCTCACTGGAAAGATCACATTCTGCTTGAACTCCAGCTTGCTTTGCCACAGTTGTGGAATTATCCCAGTCAGATGGGAGGATCTAAAGAATGTGGCTCACGTTTTTGCATTCCTGTATTCAGGATCAGGGATTAAGATCAAATACCTAATCACAGTTGCCTGTGTTTATATATTTTGCCCAATTTTACATAGATTTATAATGTGCAGGCTTCTTCTTTACCAAGTGTATTGCATAAATAAGAGCATGCTTTCTTCAAAAAAACCATTACATTTCAGAAATAATTTGTAAATTATCATATTTTTCTCTTGCTGGAAAGAATTCACTTTTGTTTCTGGCAGATCACCTTGACCAATTGAGAATACACCACTTTTCCATTTGAATTTCTCTAATTATGTAAGGTATTCTATGTTTGGACAACTATGGTGTTTATGTGCTGACTTTCATGGTTGCCAGCTGAAGTCTGAATTATCATGATGATTAAACACGGAAGCCATTCCTTGACTTGTTTGTCACGGACTTCTAACTTGTCAGGATCTAAACTGATTTTTTGGCTTCATAGGTTCATAAGAACATAAGAAGTTCTTTTCAAGTACTCTAACCCTTGACTGACATTAAGTAGGGGCACATCACAAAAAATCCAATTGGGAATTGAGCTGATTCAAATCAGAGATTCACTCTAGGTGAAGGCTAGTGTATTTTTGTGTAAATTTGCACCTCAGCTGTATCCCTTTAGAGACTGCATGCACAAACCTTGGGTGTTTACTGGCTTCCTTCCATCTTACAAAAACCTGATGTCTGTTTTAGCTTATGCTAATACATATAAAACTGTGAAAATGTCTGCTCAGCATCTCCACATTTTCTCTGGCTGCCTTCAAATCACTGTGTACAGTAATGCCAAATGCCTTAAGAATCAATGTGGAACAGAGGCTTTATGCCCAGATATTAGCCCCTCAATTTTTGTTGGACTTGGTAACTGTTCAGCGCCCTCAAACAGATTTTTTATGTATATTCTACTTGGCTTTCTGGTTGTCCTCAGTAGGTTGGTTGGTTTGCTTTAAACTAACAAAATATGTAGAGACTGTGTAAACACACCTTCTGTGTCAGTCTGTTCTCATGTTACTAATGAAGACATACGCAAGACTGGGTAGTTTATAAAAGAAAGTGGTTTAATGGACTCAGAGTTCCACGTGGCTGAGGAGGCCTCACAATCATGGTGGAAGGCAAAGGAGAAGCAAAGGCACATCTTACATGGTGGTAGGCAAGAAAGCATGTGCAGGGGAACTCCCCTTTTATAAAATCATCAGATGTCATGAGACTTATTTGCTATCAGGAGAACAGCATAGGAAAGACCCTCCCCCATGATTCAATTACCTCCCACTGGGTCCCTCCCAGGACATGAGGGAATTATGGGAGCTACAATTCAAGATGAGATTTGGTTGGGGATACAGCCAAACCATATCATCTCCTTAAGCCCTAAGAATTTAAAGTGCTTTCTCTTCATTGACCTAAGTAAAATTCTAAGTAAACAAGGATTTTTAAAAATTTCCTCCTCAATGTTTCAAATGCCTTCTGAAATTAAACTAATATTTCAAAATTAATTAGAATATTCTTGACCTTGTTGGTGTGCTAGTCTCGTGGGTATAAACAGTGCAGCATGGGACAGTCAGTACAGGATCTGGACACTGTTTTAAGATTGTCAGGATTGGCTATTAACAGATCTCTTTCACCCAACTTCTTTAGTTTTTAGAATATCAGGCAAATGAGCCAAGTAACAGTTGCAGGTCTTGATATAAAAATCTTACAGTAATGAAAATAACTCTAAATTAAGCACATAATTATGATAAAAAACATATATCAGGGACAATAACATCAAAAGTTCTGACAATGCACATATAGCATAAAACTATAATCTGATAGAAATGGAAGAAAACTAGCAAATATCTATCTTGTAGAAATAAGCTATATGCCCTGTATGAACTGTAGAATCACACTAGCTAATAGTAAAAAAGAAATCTATTTTGATTATAACATAGTTTTTCTCTCGAGTTATATTTTTTCTGAAAAAATTGGTTATTTCTCCAGAATTTAAAAAAAATTACTCTGAACTAGTGGCCTTAAATATTATTCTCTAAAATGCAAAGGTAACCATGAATTTCAAATATGGCAACACTAATTTGTGTTTTCCTACTGCAACACTAAATGAAAAATGAATTGTTATGTATTAAATGACAGATATAATTTACAACCAATATTACATTTGAGACAGTTCATAGACTTTTAGGAATACACATATGTACTTTAAGGCAGGGGTTCCCAAACCACAAGCTCGTTACCAGTCCATGGCCTGGTAAGAAGCAGGCCACACAACAGGATGTGAGTGGAGGGCAAGCAAAGCTTCATCTGTATTTACAGCTGCTTCCCATCACTAGCGTTACTGTCTGAGCTCTGCCTCCTGTCAGATCAGGGGCGGCATGAGATTATCATAGGAACACGAACCCTGTTGTGAACTGCGCATGTGAGGGATCTAGATTTTGCCCTGCTTATAAGAATCTAATGTCTGATGATCTGTCACTGTCTCTCATCACTCCCACATAAGGCAGTCTAATTGCAGGAGAACAAGCTCAGGGCTCCAACTGAGTCTACATTATGGTGAGTTGTATAATCATTTCATTATATCTTACAATATAATAATAACAGAAATAAAGTGCACAAAAGAGGTAATGCACTTGAATCATCCCGAAACCATCCCCCACCACCCAGGTCCATTAAAAAATTGTCTTCCATGAAACCGTTCCCGGTGCCAAAAAGGTTGGGGATTGTTTCCTTAAGGGATTCATTACAAACATGAATTCCAAGAATAGTATTGAGGCTGAACTATGATTATATGATTACATCTATATCTATCTGATAAATTATTTTAAGTATGAGCATATTCATCTATAAACATGTAGATTTATGTTATCATATCATAGCTATACTTATGATAATCCTTTCTTTAGTGTAACAAGGATTTCTATATCAGAAAGACAGAGATAACTCAGTTTAGGACACGGAATGGAACAGCCATCATCACATTAATTAGGAAAAAAATTTTAGGGTTTTTTTTTTGTTTTAGAATTTTTAAAAATATACCATTCAAAGTCTAAGAAGAGGAAAGAGGAAAATAGCTAATCCGAACTCTTAGGTCTTTTAACATTAACTTGGACTTAAGATATTTGAAACAAGGAATAGTTAACAAGTAGATTTCAGAAAATATAACTAGTCATTTCAAAAGAACAAGCACTTTTCAATTCTAAAAATGTTGAACATTTTCACCTAGGCTCTAGGAAAACTACATAAGAGGTTCTTATTTATGCAAATATAAAACAATAGCTAGATTTAAAAAGGAGATTTTTTTTTGAAACCAACACACATGACAACTGTACGACAAGGTAACGTGTGAAAGGTTGGCAAAAAACACAGAGTGCCAAATCTCTCAAAACAATGTTTCCCTGAAAGATCCCCTTTTTCTAAATATTTCTGTAGATTATATTGAATCTGCATGATATTTTATTTTCTGTGGGTATTGTGTTTGAGTAATTGCAGCAGTTCTTTACAACATATGAAAAGCCACTCTTCTAACATTCGGAATAGAAATGAGGATATTTCCTTTATCTCATTATGAAAAAAAGAATTTAAAGAAGTAGAGACAAGTCTCTGCTTGTCTTAGCTCAATATGGATAGTACAGTTAATGTTTCACATTAATAATTAATTGCATAAGTTTGAATAATTTAGACTTTGAGGAAAAAAATTGAAGTCAGACTCTGCTGAGGCTATTTTGGGGTTTTGGCAAGAACAAACTGAGTCTTGGTGGGAGGGGTAGTAATCCCCACTGTTGATTATCTTGAGAGATGAGAGATTGCAGGAATATACATAAAAACATCTGTACAAAAATAAATTATAGTAAGAATGAGAAAAGAAACTGTTTTATTACAAATTAAGACATTCAAATAGTTATTGTCAAAATGTATGGAATAATTTATGAGCAAAGAAGGAGGTGATTAGATCTAAATATAGCCATAGAACAAGAAGTTTGAGAATTGTTATTTCAGATAATTTCAGGTACTATTTGCAGAGAGAATCTTTAAGGTTTAGTGGGGTAAAGAAAAAGAAAAAAAATAGCCACCATTTTATTCCCAAGGTTGAGACAAGTAGCAAGATATGGATCAGTAGTCAGAATGTTGGAAGGAAAACATGTAAGCTTATTACTACTAAATCGGATCAAAGAGTGGAACTTCAGATGTACTGTTAATGGAATTAATAATAAATAATACAGAATTTTGATTGGAACAGACTTATTTACCTAGTCATTTGCACAGCTATGTTACTCTGAGATCAGATGAGTCAGAATGCAACCCTGTTTTGAGAGGCAGATACAAAAAGAAAGTTAACTCCAGAGGGGTTTCACATTGGATTCTGAATTAATTGTAGTGGCAGACAGAAGATCAAATTGTGCTAGTAAGACTCTACATAGAGCCAAAAGAGAAAAGTGATAATACTTTTCCCCACAGCAAAAACACATCAGTGGAGGAGGAGGAAGTGAAGGAAGTTTGATCATAGTTGAATGTGATGAAATATCATTGTGTGTATAAAATACTGTTAATGGAAATAAAGAAATATGGAAAAGAATGTTAAAGTTGAAAAGATAAAACATGCAGTGGAATCCTATATTTTGTGCCATCAATATAGGTCAGTTTCTAAGAAAAGTATGGTCTATTCCATTCTGATTCCTTTGTATTTATGCTCTCCAATTTGTAATATATTAACTAGAGAACACTGGAAGACAACTGAATTGTTTAATTTCCCCTGAAGTATACACGCCAATACTGGAATTTCAATTCCTGTTTATCTGTGTCCACATACAGTGCTTCTTTCAGTTTACCACACACACCATTGATAAGCAATTCCTGCCAGACTTTTTGTTTGGATTCTTCAGTGCCTCTAATTAACTAGAGAATATTTGGGGCATTTGATATTTAACTCATATTATACATCAAAACTTATAAAAACAAGTCTCCATTCATTTATAAGTATTCACCCTTCAACAGTGCATAGGTTACTCTTTATGAAGAAGTGAACAAGAGATTAATTCTACACATTTAGAAAAACTGTAATCAGGCCAGGTGCGGTGGCTCCCGCTTGTAATCCCAGCACTTTGGGAGGCCAAGGCGGGCGGATCACTTGAGGTCAGGAGTTCGAGACCAGCCTGGCCAAAATGGTAAAATGCTGTCTCTACTAAAAATACAAAAATTAGCTGGGCATGGCATGATGCGTGCCTGTAATCCCAGCTACTCGGGAGGCTGAGGCAGAAGAATGGCTTGAACCCAGGAGGCAGAGGTTGCAGTGAGCCAAGATCGCACCATTGCACTCCAGCCAGGGGACAAGAGCAAAACTCCATCTCAGAAAAAAGAAAGAAAGAAAGAAAGAAAAACTGTAATCACATAGTTTTGGGTATCTCTCTCTATATTTTTCTCTCTCCTCTTCAAGTATGTTTTTAGGAGAAACAAAAAAGAACACACAACGCATAGATCCTGAGGTGACACTGTGGTGTTTTTCAGGTACAATAAGTATGCAAGCACGTAGAGCACAATCAGCAACAGGAGGCTGTATGGTTTGATAGGGCACCATCCAAATCTCATGTCGAACTGGAGGAGGGGCCTGGTGGGAGGTGACTGGATCATAGGGGCGGATTTCCCCCTTGCTGCTCTTGTGATAGTAAATTATCAGGAGATCTGATGGTTTAAAAGTGTGTGGCACTTCCACCTTCGCACTCTTTCTCTCCTGCTACCAGGTGAAGAAGGTGCCTGCTTCCCCTTTGCCTTCCACCATGATTGTAAGTTTCCTGAGGCTTCCCAGTCATGCTTCCTGTTAAGCCTGCTGAACTGTTAGTTAATTAAACCTCTTTTCTTCATACATTACCCAGTCTCAGGTAGTTCTTTATAGCAGTGTGAGAATGGACTGATGCAGTAGGGGTGGAGAAAAGAGTATGGAAAATTGGATAAGATGTTATTGCCAGGCCAGGTGCGCTGGCTCACGCCTGTAATCCCAGCACTTTGGGAGGCTGAGGTGGGCAGATCACGAGGTCAGGAGTTCAAAACTAGCCTGGCCAACATGGTGAAATCCCATCTCTACTTAAAAAAAAAAAAAAAAAATACAAAAATCAGCTGGGTGTGGTGGCGTGCGCCTGTAATCCCAGCTAGTCAGAGGCTGAGGCAGGAGAATCGCTTGAACGTGGGAGGCGGAGATTGCAGTGAGCCGGCATTGCATCACTGCACTCCAGCCTGGCGACATAGCGAAACTCTGTCTCAAAAACAAACAAACAAACAAAACAAAACAAAACAAAACAAAAAACAGATGTTATTGCCACTGGTTTGCTAATAATTATGCCATAGTTTGAACTTACCATCTTGCACTTAACATACATCTCTTAAATTGAGCTCCAGCAATTTGGGCAATGACATATGATTACCTCAATTCAAAAATTGTCCAGGTATAATTCTGGTAAAATGTTTTATGCATTTAGAGATACTCATTGGTGGTTTTGTTCCGTATGAACTCTTATAGCTCTATGTTGAAAGGGAATGTATATTAATTTTATATTGCTGAAATAAAGTAAAAAATTAAACGTTTTCATCTCTTTTCCTGATATATGATTCAATCTGAATCATTTATTATTTTTAGCTCATTTTTAATAATCTTCAGTTCTTAAAAATTTTCCATGTGTTTTAAAATCCCAGGACAGGTGAAATATTTAATTTTTTACAATAATAATTTAGCAAGTTAGATGTCATAGTAAATTACATTTTTTTAAGAAGCCAAGAGCATTATGAAACAGCATTGGTAGTAACCATAGTACTTGTTAGAAACGATGTGAAATGATATGTAGCACTTGCTATGTTGCTTGACATTTTTAAATATAGGTAATTAATAAAAATAAATGAGAACTCTGAAATGGTATTGACTGTGATAGAAAAATTCAATAAATATATAACAGAAAGTTTATAGGCTCCTATGAGAACAAATATATTATTTTACATGCCAAGTAATTATAAATTCTTTATAATAGTTAATATTGAATTTAATATTTAAAAAATCTGAGTAGCATAGTTTTGCATCAAAACAGTTTTAATTCCTGTTTCATTTAGAAGCTTTATAATTTGGAGAAATTGTCATGAAAATTTTTTAAATGGTAATACCTTCTATTAAATTCAAATACTTAGTATTCATCATAAACTTTATAGTCATTAATTAATAGACACTACAGAGTAGGTGATAATCAAGTATTGTTATCAGTTTACAAAGAAGGTACTATACCAACCTGTGAACACAAAATAGGTTAGTAACACGTTAATATTCTATGCACTAACTGCTTTTATTTCCTCTTCAATTATCTCTTAAAATGAATCACATGGAAACAAAAGGAGATTTTTTTTTTTTTTTTGCATAATGAGATCAAATTTTAGGATAAATAGCAACTAGGTGATAATTAATTAAGGATAATAATAATAATTAAATTAAAGACATCTCATCACAGATCTTATCTCTGAAAACACCTCAAATCAACAAGGAGGGAGAAAAGAAAACAGAAAAGAAACTATCTCCTATGAAACCAGAAGTCGTCCATAACTCTCAACTTCAGTTCTAAGTGTTATAGGTAGAATGAATAGTACACTAGACAACAATGAGCAAGTCAGGAGCACTTGTAGGCCTGTCATGGCAAAGCTCAATAGTCATGTAGAAATATCAGAGAAAAGCAGGAATTGCAAATGAGGTCAGGGTTAATTTAGAAATGTGGATGTGTCTTGCCGCCAAAGCAAGCCAAACCAAACTGAGCCAACCTACCTACCAACCCATACAAAAAGACAAGCAAATCAAAACAAAAACAAAAAAAAACCCAAACATCTAAGAGCATTTGTCTGTCTCTGTGACACATTGCAGAGAAATCAGGAGGTGTTAATCAGCTTGCCAGTTAAATTTTCTGATGAAAGGAATTATAATAATGGTTACAAAAGGATAATGAAAATCTATAACATGTTGGCCTTTTCTCTGACCCAAACAAATATCTTCGAGGAGAGGAAGGAGACATAACCACAAAGCACAGTATCTGTGAGATGGTGTTCAGTGTTAACTTAAAACAATGTAAATGATTTGCATTTTCAGTTCACTTCCTGGGATGTTTTTTCCCATGCCTTTATAAACAGATGACCAAGAATAAATGTTACATATTCAAGGAAGGTTAGCATTTAAAAAAACTTAATCATGAGACGTACTCAGTTGCACTAATAAAACGGGCCAAGAAGCAAAGTGATGATGGAAAATAAAACAAAATTTTATATCATAAAACAAGTTAAAGTTATAAACAAATCTTTATTTTTGAAAGCTTGGAACTTCAAGATTGTAGGTGTTCAAGAATAGATACTGAGACAACAGAAGGCAATAAAAATTGAACTGGCAGTGTTCTGGATACAAACAAATAGCAGAAAGCAAATAATTAGATAAACTAATTATAAGAAAACATAAGAATTAATATTTCAAATGGCAAATATACAAAATACATAATACTAAATATTATGAACTGAATATGTTCCCCAAAATTCCTATGTTGAAATTAAAATTAAATCCCCAAGGTCATGGTATTAAGCAGAAGGACCTTTTGAACATGATTCTGTCATGAGGGCACAGCTCTCATAAACAGGATTACTGGCATTACAAAGCCAACTCCAGAAACCCCCTCTCCTTTGTGCCCTGTGAGGACAAAGTTTGAGAAGACAATGTCATGAATGAGTAAATGAGCCCTCAACAGACACCAGATTTTCCTGATCAGGAACTATCTAGCATCCAAAACTATGAGAAATAAATTTCTGTTGTTTATAAGCCACCCATTTATGATATTTTGTCCAAACAGACTAAGATACTAATTTAGAAGGATTAGATAAAAATAAGACAAATACAAATTACTTATAACCCTTTTGAAATAACACAAGGACCTTAATTCATCCCCACTCACTTTCTATGAATTTGTGTAATACTCTCATATATTTCACCTCTGCATGTTGTACATCCACAAGCCATTGCTGTTGTTCTTCTTATTGTTTTCCAACACCAGTGTAAATTTTGCTATACTTACATTGCTTTTTATTCCTCCTTGAATTTCTGTGTTTCTATCGGAAATGATCTTCATTGTGACTGAAAAAATTCTCTTTTGTATTTTTTTATAGTGTAGTTCTAACAATATCAAATTCTGCAAGCTTGTTTGTTTAAAAATATCTTCACTTTACTTTAGGTGTACAGAATTCTACATCAACAAGATTTTTATGTCCTTTTAAAGTATTATGGATACATACTAGTTATGCATATTTATGGACTACGTGTGATGTTTTGAAATAAAAATACAATATGTCACACTTAAATCAAGGTAATTAGGTTATCCGTCACCTCAAACATTTATTATTTCTTTGTGTTAGGAACATTTCAATTCTACTCTTTCAGTTATTTTGAAATATACAATAGATTATTGCATATTTAATTGTTATGTACAATAAATTGTATATTTAATATATTTATTGTACATTTTAAAATATACAATAAACTGTTTACAATAGACAATAAATTATTGTATATTTACAATAGACAATAAATTATTGTATTTTTACAATATACAATAGTTGCCCTATTGTGCCACCGAACACTAGATTTTATTCTTTCTACCTCTATTTTTGTACCCATTAACTATGTCCTCTTTGCTGTCCCCTCTCCACTACCCTTCCCACCCTCTGATAAGCATCATTCTACTCTCCTTTCCTTGAGTTCAATATTTTTAGCTTCCACATATTTAATGAGAACATGCAAAATTATATCTTTATGTGCCTGATTTATTTTACTTAATGTAATATCTTCCAGTTCTATCCATCGTCTTACCCCGGTTCAAATAGTTTTTATTTTTAATCAAAAAGACAGGCAATAACAACTGCTGACAAGGATGTATAGTAAGGGGAACCCTCGTACACTGTTGGTGAGAATGTAAATTACTAGAGCCATTATAGAACAGTGTGAAGGTTTCTCAGAAAAACTAAAAATAGGACTATCGTATGATCCAGCAATCCTACTGCTGTGAATATATTTAAAGTAAAGGAAATCAATATACCTAAACAGATATCTGCACTCCCATGTTTATTGCAGCACTATTCACAATAGCCAAGATATGGAACCAATCTACAAGTCTATCAATAGATGAATACATTAAAAAATACACAATACAATATTATTCAGCCATAAAAGGATGGAAATATTGTAAACAGAGATTTTATTTTTGATTGTTTTATTTTCTTTTAGTGATTGCCAGCTTTTAACAATATATTATTCCATTATATTCTGTTTTTCATAGTTTTAATTCAGAAGTCCACCATCCGCCTCAACTTCTTTGAAAGCAATATATCTTTTTGGTCTGTCTGCTTTTAATCTTTTTTTCTAGCAGTTTACTGCTTGTGAATGACCTTCTTTGCATTTCCCTGTGACACTAAAATTGCACTAAGTATATTTCCTGGTTCTATAGTTTATTTTACTCTTTTTTAATCAATTAGGGTTACTATTGTTTTAGATCTTTGATACTTTGATAAATATTTTCATTACTACTTGATCATAAAAAACTGTGCATTAAACTTAAAAATTCATGAATACATGCACAAGGGATGGTCTTATAGTGCAGTTAAATTATAGCTGGCAAAGAAAAAAATATATACCTAATTAGTTCTGTTTTGAATGTCAGCCATTTTTTCCCCAGTTATCCAATCTACATCTTCAATGTTACTTTCTCAAATGTATTTGTAAGAAATCAAAAGAGAGTCTAAATCATGAATTGTTAAGTTTTAGTATTCATATTATGTGAATATTAATACAACATTTTGTAACTGACACATTTGTAGTTTATCATTTTCTAGCATTTTATTTACTATTTTTTATGTACCAAAGACTGCATTTGCAACAATTTCCAGAGTATACATTCTTTCTAATTTGAAGAGAAATAAATGGAAATGTATTAGCATAAACCATCTCCAGATACATAAACTAAGATATGACATTCCCACCTAATCATGATTCTTACAGAAATTATAATAATGAATATCTATCTATATATACTAATAATGTATATGTGTGTATATAGACATATATATGAAGAAACATAAGCCAATAAAAGTAAAAGACTATATATATATAGGCTTATGTTTCTTCAAGGCGCACTAAAAGTATGCATGTAATCATCATACAGCTATTATGGAAATCAGTATGTAGGGTCCTCAAAAAACTACAAATAGAACTACCATATGAACCACAATTCCACTTCTAGGTTTATATCCAAAGGAATGAAAATCAATATGTCAAAGAGATATCTGTAGTTTAACGTTAATAGTGGCATTACTTAAAATATCCAAAATATGTAATCAATCTAAGTGTATCAATAAATATCTTGATAAAGAAAATGAGGTATATGTACACAATGGCATACTGTTCAGCCTTAAAAAATAAGGAAATCTTTTTATGAGTGACAAAGTAGCTGAATTTGGAGGAGCTTATGCTAAGTAAAATAAATTAAGCACAGAAAAACATATACCACATTATCTCACTTACACATGAAATGTAAAATGGTCAAACTGATACAAGCAGAGAATAGAACGGTGGTTAGCAGAGGCTGGGAGTCGATGGTGGGGTATGGGGGTAGGAAAGGGGGAGAAGTTAGTCTTGAACTTATTAAGTCTTAGTATAAGTGTGTCCATTTAACACTGCCTGTACAAATTAGGAGCAGCATGCATTATATCTCAGATCAGAATTTATCTTTTTTAATGTTATGTACCATTTTTGATTTTAGTTAAAAGAATGTTTAAGAGAAGCTGACCTTCAATAAGTTGCCATGTTTCAGTGAAAATTAAATTATATATTAATAAATCATTTTTAAGTTAACATAATGTCTACCTTAAAAAAAACTCATAAAATCAGAGTAACCATTTTAATAAGCATATTTCAGAAATACTTTCCATTGTAGGCATATTCCAGAAGTTTTAACAGCATGCTAATGATACTCCCACTCAAATTTAAATACATATATGCAGGAGAAAAAAACCCATCATCATGGAAGGTAATTAAAGGTAGAAATAAAATCAAGACAATTCTTAAAATATATTTTAAATCTTTCTCATTAATCAGTCGTTTTTCAAATGTAAATTGTCTAAGAAACATTTGATTGACTACTGTGTTCAAGACTCTTAACATTATCCTGGTGCATTGCTTCAGGTTCTTCTGAAAGCCATGTCTGAGACAAGATCTTGGAGCAGGTAGTTGATTTAGAGATGATCACAGGAAGCAGGGGTATGCGTGTGGTGAGAATGAGATGGGACAAGATTAAAAGCCATAACAAGGCTGCCCTATTAAATTCACTGTTGTAGGCTGTGGGAGTTGCTTCTTTCTGAATCTGAGAAAATTAGAGACGAAATTTGGAAGCATCCACCTGAAATATTGGTGGCTTAGATTTTTATTTACTGGCTCCTGAGCCCCTTTATTTGAAGGTCACCACTAGATATGTTATCTTCTTCAGGGGGTTTAAGTGTAGTGTACTTTGAACATGCAGGGAGCTTGCTCCGGGTATGAGAAAAAGTCCCAGAGCAAATGCAGAAGATGAGCAATAGGCACTCGTGGGGGCAGGTACTGGCAATGTGAAATGAGCCTGAGGTCACATAGAATTTTTTAGCCATTCTAGCTGAGATCAGCTGAGGACTAAGGAAATATAATGCAGACAGTAGAAGTATTTACCACACCTGGAAATATAAAAATGAGTAAGCACAAGTAACTGAAGGAACTATTTAGAAGTCTGGAAGAAGATACTGGCTTTTAAATGAAAACTTAACAAAAAAAAGGAATCATGTAAAACAGAGTTATGTAAGAAAAAAAATGCTCCAAGTGTTAAAGACTACATTTACTAAGTAAGGAGTTATTGGTTACTGATTGCCAAGTATATTAGCTTCCTATTGCTGCTGAAATGAATGACCACAAATATCATGACTTAAAACAACACAAAGTTATATCCTTACAATTCTGGGAGCCATAAGTTCAAAATCAGTTATATTGAGCTAAAGTGATTATGTCCACAGGACTGGTTCCTTCAGGAGGCTATAGGAGAAAATCTGTTTCTTTGCCTTTTCCATCTTCTAATTCTGCCCTACATTCCATGTCTCACGCCCCACCCCATACCCCATCTTTAAAGCCAGTCAATGTAGCATCTCTCCTCTTTGAGCTCTGCTTCCATCCTTACAACTTTTCTCTCCCTGACTCTAAGTCTACTGCTTCTCTCTTACAAAGATCCTTGTGATGATATTGAACCTACCTGGATAATTCAGTGTCATCTCTCCATTTCAAGATTATTAACTTAATCACATCTGAAAGTCCATTTTTCTGTATAAGCTAATTCATTTACAAGTTCCTGGATTAAGACAAGGATATCACTGAGAGGCCATTACTCAGCCTACCACACCAGATACATTTGAAGTAAAAATAAAATTTGAGAATTTTACCAGAGAACGAATGAATAAAATCTAGCTATTCTTTGATACTCTGGTGTTTTGTAAAACTCACATGTAGTTCTACCTACTTCTCCAATGGTGTCAAAGTTTTGATTTAAGACAAACTTTCCATGAAATTTAAACATCTCCAAAATGCAAATGAAAAAAAAAATGTGGATGAATTACTCCAGATCAATTTCATAATTTTCTCTGGGCAAAATAGTTTTTTGTGCCATTCAAATCTATGTTTGGACATAAAGAGTTGGGTTGAATATTCTTTAACAACTACCTAAAAAATTCACTCTTCTTTTCCTGTTATTCAGAAAATATTTAGGATCACTTATTCATTTCCCCAAAACATGTAATACATTCCATGTTTATTGTGAGGACTACTTATTTCACTTATTTACTACTGTTTTATCCCCTTTAAGTAATAAGAACATAATTGCTGGCAAACATCCATAAACAGGACATTTTGGAAAAGCTGTTTCTCTAAGTCAGGGTATAAAGCTTCCTTTGATGCCAGAAATATATTTCAGTTCTATATCTGATTGTCATAGCAAACGTCAGGAAAGAGCAGTTTTAAGTACGTTTTCATAAAAAGCCTATAGTGTGCAGTGGATTTCATTATGTTGACTAACGGGTGCATTTTGTAGTATAGTTTCAGTGACTCAAAGTCCAGATATTCTCCAGTGATTTATAATTCTGATTATTAGGATCTTCTGCATGAGGAACCAGCCATTTCATCAGAGTTCTCACTTGTGCAATTCTCTATCTTGAATCAAACCTGTTTGTGGAATGAAAGATTTAAGAAAGCTTTCTAAATTTTTCAAAAACATAACACTAAATCTACATTTTCAACCTACACTCTCAGCAGATTTAAAAGTTACAATTAGAATTTGCTAAATAAGTGTTTGTATTCTGTCATTCATTGGATACACAAACCACACACACATACACATAATCAAGTACAAACCCACAAGCACAGTTACTCTGCCAATTAAAAGATGCTTTATTATTAAATATTATCTGGAAAATTCCCATAAAATTATTACCAAAAGTACCATGAAAAGCAGTTGTAAATAAAAAATTATACCTTGGAATACTCCAACATGAATTTTGAAAAATAATTATTCATACCTTTACAATTTCATTATTAATACAGAAAAGAACATACATTGTAAGACTACGTTATTACTGTACCCAGATCATGAAGCAAAACATTGCCAAACCTCAGAATTCTCTCAGTGCGCCTTTTTGATTTCTAACAGCATGAATTATTTGCCACTTTTTGTCTTTTATTTAAGTGCAATTCTGTAACAGTCAGAGTTGTGACTCACTTCATACGGCTTTGATTATGCACTGATGATTTGGAAGGTCCTGTCTTCTGTCTCTGGGAAGATGTTAGTATCTGATTTAAGGAATGCTAATTTTGTGATATTGAAGACAACTATGCAATGTAAGTCTTTTTATAATATATTTTTAAAACCTCCAAAGTAATCAAATGATACACAATTTTATACATGCAAATTGATTTTTAAGATACAATCAGTGTCATCCAGAACATTGGGCATATCACGTGGATTACAAAGTTACAACCTCTGCAAATACATCTTGTAATCAAGAAGATGCACATTTGTTTTTAGTGGCTTCAATATATTCAAGACAGCTGGGGTTTTAGAGAACTATTCATTTTAGTTTAAAGACATTTTTTAAAGATTTAAAGGAATATGCTAAAGTCACCCCAAGTTACCCTATGCATTAAAAAAATGCCATTCTGGAAACCCCCAAACACTTTTTTTAAGTGGTGACCATCATAATTTAAAATCATTTTTTTCGAGAATGCCAAATAATAGGCCGGCAGCAGCGGCTCAAGCCTGTAATCCCAGCACTTTGGGAGGCTGAGATGGGCGGATCACTTGAGGCCAGGAGTTTGAGACTAGCCTGGGGAACTTGGCAAACCCCATCTCTACTAAAAATACAAAAATTAGTAGGGCGTGGTGGTGTGTGCCTGTGATCCCAGCTACTCGCAAGGCTGAGGTGGGAGAATCTCTTGAACCCAGGAGGTGGAGGCTGTAGTGGGCTGAGATTGCACCACTGCACTCAGCCCGGGCTACAGAGCAAGACTCTGTCTCAGGAAAAAAAAAAAAAAAAAAAGCCAAATAAGCCAATATTAAAGATATTGTTGACATGTTTTAATTAAAAATATTTTAGGGGAAAACCATTAATTTATAAGGGTTCTCTTAAAATATTATGTCAGTATTAACAAATGGAATTTTTCTGTCCTTGCCTATATACTATGCGTTGGACAAAGCAGTGTGTCGGACCCTTTTTATGCCAGAACACATTGTAAAAATGGATACACTTTATGTAACTGGAAGAAATCAGGCTGGGTCTGGCTGTCTCCAGGGTTACCCAGACACACTGACAGCAAATGGGATCACTAGGTGAGGATCTATTAGAGGCATCCCAGAGTGCTCTTTCATACCCATTGGGACCCTTTTGATAAAGCCTTCCTACTCAGTGCATTCTGGAGAAAAGCCTGTTTTGAAATTACCTGGGAATTTGTTAGAAATTGGGATGCACAGGCTCCACACCATCCCTGCAAAACTTGGTTACATTTTAATAAGATTTTGCATGACAATTGGTACGTTATAATTTTAGAAGTATCACTTAAAAAAGTAAGAACACTGATTCTAAGTTTGGTTTGAAATGGGATAACTAGGATATTTCATTGGTGGAATGGAATAGTTACAATCAGCGTATGTGGATATTTTACTTGCATTTTAATACAAATATTTTAAACATGATATAGAGTAATCTCTTTATTAAAACTTGCCATTTCTTATAAATGGTTTCTCGTTTAATGTGTATACCTTTTTCTTTCCTCATTCTGATTTATCTGTGGAATAGTCAAGTACAACTTTATTAATTTAGCAACTGGGAAAGTAATTTGTCTATGTTTCTATTTAAAAACATATTAAAATGTGAGATTAGGTTTTAAGGACATATTAGTTATCCTATAACTTTCTGTTGTCTTAGATAAAAGTATTTTTTTATATCTTTAGCTGTTCATTTATTTCCAATTCTTTGTCATGTTTCACAGTGCACTGAAGAGGAAACTCTATTATAATCTTTTGTTTTTGGAGAGATTCTTCAAAAGGGGTTATGAAAAGGAAAGGTGCATTTGCCCATTTTAAGAAAGTAAATAGAGGTTATTTCTTATTCAAAATACTTGGGATAAGAAGTGTTTCAGGTTTTGGACTTCCTTGGATTTTGGAATATTTGCATTATACTTAACAGTTGAGCATCTCTAATCCAATAATCTTACATTGGAAATGCTCCGATAAGTACTTCTTTCATGTTTTATGTTGGTGCTCAGAAAGTTTTAAGTTTGGGAGCACTTTGGATTTCAAATTTTTGGATTAGTGATGCTTGCCCTGCATTTCAGACATTATTTGCAATACACTCTGGGACACTGTTGCCAAAGCTGCAGTTTGTCTCCTGGAAGTTTTGCTCCCCACTGCTTCCAATGAATCAGAAAAATCTGATGCTACCTGAAAGTTATGAGGTTTCTGTATTAAGATTCTATTCTGCTGCTCCACGGAAGTACTTAAATGTTTCTTTTAATTTTTTAGCCAATCATTTTTAAAAATATAATTTCAGGCATGTTTATAAGGTCTTGAACTTTAATCTAAACTCCTTAGGAGTCTGAAAATATGGAGATTTCTGCTCAAAAGATTCATTTTCATACCGTATCAATCCAGAAATAATGTTTATGTTTACCCTAAGTTACTCACGGTTGTTAAAAGCTTCTGTCATTTTCTTCACTACTGACATTATTCTTGAAATTATATACATTTCTGTGTTCAAAGCACATATAATAAAAAGGTAATATGTTTTAAGTAAATACTTTATTTAAAATCTCTCCAACAATTTTGTTATCAGCAAAATTTATCTGAAAGGTTAATAGCAATTATCTTTACATATATCTGTATTTATTTATTTAATGTCAGATATTTGGTGAAATGTTTCCTTAAAGCAAATAAACAACCAAACAAAGAAGCAAACAAAACAAGGGTATAAGGCACTTTCTTTGTACTATGGGGGAGGAGATTTTCATGCTACATATTTTTCATTTAGGTGCTGGAATTCTTCAATATTTTAATCTGTGTATGCGGATTGTGAAATGGAATAGTTAACAATCAGAATATGTGGATATTTTATCTGCATTTGATACAATTATTTTAAACATGAAATAGGATAATCTCCAAATCTCTTAAATTTACATATAAATTGTGCAGTTTATGCCCAAAGAAGACACACAACAAATCTTGACATAGGAAATATAGCTACACACTAAGCTAAATACACACACACACACACACACACACACACACACACATTTTAGATTTAGATATAGTGTTTTATGATGTTATAAAAATACCAATGGTAAAAAAATATATAAAACAGTACAAATACTAAATTAAGTAGTATGCTTTTGGTTTTCTTTGAAAAATGAAAATCTGTCTAAAATACATAGTATGATGTTATCATTTGTAAAATCCTTGGGATTAGCAATGTCAGAGAGCAAAGTCTTCATCCCTAAATTTGGCATTCCCTATCTGATACTCTCTCAGTTATACTATTTATTAGCTGAATAACTTTGAAAATTACACATTGCATCTACAATTCATAATACTATAAATTCTATGCTGCTATACATCAGCCTATCAGAAACTTTTTGTTTACATATCATATCATACAATTTCACAATTTGTTGTTGCATTTTTATGTTATAACTTCATCTTTCTACAGTAGTCATTATATAAAGTCATTAAAATATTTTACAAATATTTCTGAGTCTTACAAATATTCCGACTAAATATTCACCTGAGAACTTTCTCTTGAAATACTGTGCAAAACAGTGTTGCTTTTTCTGTGGAAATAAATGATTCTTTCTGTCGAAGTAAATGAATTTTTTGAAGGAGGGGTTATATTTCCCTTTGGAAGCTAAGAAACACACATGTAATACACTGAATGTTTTTGTCCCTCCCAAATTTATGTGTTGAAACCCTAACCCCTAAAGTGATAGCATTAGGAGATGGAGTTCAGGGAGGTGATCAGGTTTTGAAGGTAGAGCCCTCATGAATGGCAGAAGTACCCTCATAAGACAGACCTGAAGAGATTCCTTGCCTCTTCCATCATGTGAGGACATAAGGAAAAGACCAGTCTATGAACCAAGAAGTAGGCCCTCACCATACACCATGCACTAAATCTGCAGCACTTTGGTCTTAGACTTCCCAGCTCCCAGAAATATGAGGAATAAATGTTTGTTATTTATAAGCCATACTATCTCTTGTATTTCGTTATAGCAACCCATACAAACTATGACAACATCTTTAAGAATTACATTTTTCTAACTTACTTTTTGATATTATACTTTTCCCTTTTCCTAAATCTGATTTTATAATTTGATTTTATTTTCTTCATTTTATCATGCAAAATAGTATAAACCACTTTAAATAAGTTTATGTAGAGAGACAGAAATTAATGGACCAACCAATAAATTAATTAATAAGGTAAACCCATGAAAAGTATTTTTAATCTGATAAGATATGAAAGCAGATCACCAATCCTCATTTGAAAAAAATCACTGTAACTGAGACCTTTCATTAATTTTTTATGAGTTTAAAGAACACACACTCAAATGTATTCATTTGGCATTCCATCATTTTGAATAGTTATATTCAATATAGTAATAGTATAGTAGATTGTATCTGAATGTATTCTATGAAAACTCCAATAGAGAATAACAATAATTTAATTTAAAAAAATTGAAAAAGAGATTGAGTTAAAGGACAGGATGATATAGTTTGCAAATAATGTTTAGGAGGGATTTGTTGAGAATTAATAAAAATATTAATATATTTATTAATTGTTCACACAAAGAAAAATAAAGATGAGTAAAAATTCAGTTTAAACTTCATTGTAGTGAATCCTTTTAATCTTAAATGCAATAATAGTTTATATTTACATAATTATGTTCCTCATTAGTTTCAGGTATGGTTAAAAGTCAGAGAAAATAATATGAAGTCTCATTAACCATGACAAGGGACTTGTACATATCAAAACAGGCCTTTAACATTTTTCTCGAGTATATGCCAATTGACTCAGTGAAAATAATTTATGACCTCTTAATTTAACACAATGATTTTCCAGAGCTTTCTAATAGACAAGCTACCTATCCCTTTAATTATTTGAACACATTATCAGGACTGTAAATAAATATCTTTACTAAATTTTAGTGACATTAAATAGGTTTTTTTAACACTACAGTGACATTTAATATCTGAAAATAATAATGGTTTTTTTTAGGTTGATGTTTAATCAACCATTTATTCTTTCCTTTACCCATTCATGCATAAATGTTTAATGTACACCCGCTATGTGCCAGAAACTCTACTAGACGTTGGAGATTTAGCCAAATAAGAAAAGAAAAAGACAAATAAAAAAAACAAGACACACAGGATACTTTTACTGTTAAGAGATAAAGAGGCCATAAATAAGCCAAGAGCTAAATACATAATTATAACTTCGGATCAGATAATTATTTTGAGGAAAAAAAGCCACATGCAAGTATAAATGATAGGATTTGGTCATCAGGGAAATTCTCCTGCAGATGCGACAGTGCCTCAGAGCCCTGCACCAAGTGAGGGAGAATACCTTGAGAAATAAATTGTGAGTCCCGAGATAAACAGCAACTAGAAATTTTTAAGGAAATTTAAAGGAAAATGGGCTTGACCATAGTTGAGAAGGGAGGAGTGTATTCAAGACAATCATAGTGACAGAAGTCAGAACAGATAAAGTCTTGAGGCAAGGGTAAGAATTTTAAAATAATTTCCCCAGTAAGTTGGAAGCCATTGTAGAAACTGAGCATTGTTAGTATGTAATCTGAATTGCATTTTTAAGTGATTACTCTGATGTTTCTGAAAATGTAAGTCCTATGAAAGACTCGATGATGTGATTTATGTGAATTTGCAGACATGTGCACTGTCACTTTTGAAGCCAGTGTGCAGGGGCAAGATCCATTCAGCATCCACTGCTTTTCCCTATACAAGCAGCCAGATGCAGAAGTGGCAGCCCCCTGATAGCTAGGTGTGCAGTAAGAGTCTCTGCAAGAAATATACTCCATGTGACCCATTGGATGATTTTCTAAAATGCACTCAACACTCTCAATTTCTTTAGGTGGAAGGTTTCTATCCTTTTATCTAACCTGCTTGAAAAGGGGCTTCTGAACCCATGTCAGCTCTGACCAGTCCCACTGAGTCTCTGTCTCTGTCTAACACTATTAGAATCAGATGACCTATTTGCCTTGCTCCTGGACATCTCCATAGTCTCTCAAAAGGGTAGGGTTACAACACAGCAATGCTGAGGAACTAATGCTGTTTGTGGTGAATTTTTACTAAAAAGGAAAATAAAAGGAATCTGTGCATATATTACTTTCTGTTACTTTACCATCTTTTCCTCTAATAGACAAGAAACAGTAACTCTGCATGATCTGCTCAATGAGAGCAATCAGCGAGTGAGAAATCCCATTTTTCTGGTCATTTACAATTTTCATTTGGGCTATGGCCAGGAATTTTGAAATTTCCTTCTCTTCTACCTGATCTAAATTTATTTTTCCCCTCCTGCTTGCTTCCCTTGGTTTGTATCATCAAATAAATTGTTAACACATAAGATAACAAATAAATTGTTAACACATAATATAAAGATAATTAATTGTGGCGATGACCACAGGAAAAATAAAGTCTTATGATACAAGTTTGAAGTTGAAGAGTTTCCCAACTTGGGAGAACAGGGGAATTGGGACCTTCTTTCTCATGGTTTGTGAGATTGTGCTTTCATAGATGCCTGTTTGGGAGGATATGAAGGCAGCAATCACTGGAACAATGATAATGATAATGATAGACTGTGGTGTGATGTAGCTGTTTTCGACAGAATTCACAAGCTTGTTAAAAATAAAAAAAGCTCAGACAGCTATAAGACAACTTACACTGTAAAGGCTAGAAAGCCAGAAAAATCTATATGGCCACTTTAAATAATACTAAAGTTGTAGGAAAAACTACTGAAGGCTGGCTTTAAATGGGAATGTTAGAGGGAAGGAAACAGCAAAGAATACTAATTGCAGCCAAATCAAGTATCCTGATGGCCATTTGTATGTCTTTTTTTGCAAAAATTTATATTCAAATCATTTGCTCATTTTTCAATTTGTAAGTTTTTTGTTTGTTTGTTGTTGTTTTGTTATTGAGTTGTTTGAGCCTCTTATATATTCTGGTTATTAACTCTTTTTCAGATGGATAGTTTGCAAATATTTTCTCTTATTCTGTGGGTTGTTTCTTCACTTTGTTGATTGTTTGCTGTGCAAAAGCTTTTTAGCTTGATGTAATCTCATTTGTCCATTTTTGCTTTGGTAGCCTGTGCTTTTGAGGTCTTACACAAAATCCTTTGTCTAAACCAATGTCCTGGAGCATTTTCCCGAAGTTTTATTCTAGTAGTTTCATAGTTTGATGGCTTAAATTTAACCCTTTAATCCATTTTGATTTGATTTTTATGTATGGTGAGAGATAGGGCTCTAGTTTCATTCTTCAGTGTATACTTCTCTAGCTCTCCCAGCACAATTTATTGAAGAGACTATGCTTTGCTTTCTGTACATTATTGGCACCTTTGTCAAATATGAGTTGGCTGTAAGTGGGAGGATTTGAATCTGTGTTCTCTCTTCTGTTCGGAGGTTCTGTGTGTCTGTTTTTATGCCAGTAGCATGCTGATTTGGCTACTATATCTTGGAAGAAGATTTTGAAGTCAGGTAGTGCCATGCCTCCAGCTTTGTTCTTTTTTATCTCAGGATTGTTTTGATTACACAGAGTCTTTTGTGGTCCATACAAATTTTAGATTGTTTTTCTGTATGTATGTGAAGAATGTAATTGGATTTTGACAGGGATTGCACTGAATCTGTAAATTGCTTTGAGTAGTATTGCCATTTTAACCACATTAATCCTTCTAGTACATAAGCATGGGATATTTTTATCATTTTTTGTGTCCTCTTCAATTTTTTTAATCAGTATTTTGTAGTTTCCCTGTAGACTATTTGCTTCTTTAGTTAAATTGATTCCTAGGTATTTTATAATCTTTATAGTTATTGTAAATGAAATTATTTTCTTGATTTCCTTTTCAGATACCTGTAGATATATTGAAATGTGACTTGTTTTTGTAAGGTGATTTTGTATCCTGAAACTTTACTGAAATTCCTTATTAGTTCTCACACTATTTTTTTTTTTTGGTGGACCTTTTAGGTTTTTCTAAGTAAAAAATCATGTCGTCTCTAAACAAGGCTAATTTGACTTCTTCCTTTATAATTCCAATGCCCTTTATTTCTTTCTCTTGCTTTATTGCTTTGGCCAGGACTTTTAGACATTCAAAGAGCCAAGAATGTAGAAAAAATGCTAAACATCACTAATCATTAGGGAAATACACATCAAAACCACAATGAGATATAATCTCGCTCCAGTTAAAATGGCTTTAATAAAAAAGATGGGCAATAATGGATGATGATGAGACTGTGTATAAAGGATAACTTTTTTAAATTGTTGGTGGGAATGTAAATTAGTACATGAAGTTTCATGTACTAATACATAGAGCTACCATATGACACAAATAAAGGATAAATTTTTTACATTGTTGGTGGGAATGTAAATTAGTATGAAGGTTCATGTACTAATACATAGAGCTACCACATGACACAGCAATTCCACTACTGAATATATATTCACAGCAATTCCACTACAGAATATATATATATTCCACTACAGAATATATATATATTCCACTACTGAATATATATATACACTAAATATGTGTATTTAGCCTGTGTATATATACTAAATATATATATTTATATAGACTAAATACATATACATAAATATATATGTAACTATATATGACATGATTTATATATATAAATATATATAATAAATATAAATATATTATATTTATATTTATTATATATATTTATATATACTATAGAGCTACCATATGACACAGCAATTATATATTAAATATAAAATATATATAAAAATGTATATATTAATATTTAATGTATATTATTTTATTGAATAAATAAATATATATAAATAATATATATCAATAAATTTATAAATATATGTATAAATAAATATATAAATAAAAATATATATTTTATTAAATATAAATAATATATAATATATAAAAATGTATGAAAAAATATATAAATATATAAATATGTAAATAATTTATATAAATAAATATAAATATGTAAATAATTTCTATGAATATAAATATGTAAATAATTTATATAAATAAATATAAATATGTAAATAATTTATATACATATATAAATATGTAAATAATTTATATATATATAAAATGTAAATAATTTATAGATATAAATATGTAAATAATTTATAGATATAAATATGTAAATAATTTATAGATATAAATATGTAAATAATTTATAGATATAAATATGTAAATAATTTATATAAATATAAATATGTAAATAATTTATATATATAAATATGTAAATAATTTATATATAAAAATATGTAAATAATTTATATATATAAATATGTAAATAATTTATATATATAAATATGTAAATAATTTATATATAAAAATATGTAAATAATTTATATATAAATATGTAAACAATTTATATAAATATAAATATGTAAATAATTTATATAAATATATATAAATATGTAAATAATTTATATAAATATATAAATATGTAAGTAATTTATATAAATATATAAATATATAAATAATTTATATAAATATATGTAAATATATAATTTATATAAATATATATAAATATATTTATATTTAGTATATATATTTATATATATGCAGTAGTGGAATTGCTCTGTCATATGGTAGCTCTATGTATTAGTACATGAACCTTCATGTACTAATTTACATTTCTACCAACAATGTAAAAAGATATATATATTTAGTGTGTGTATATATACACTAAATATATATCTATATCTATACACAGATATAAATGTCTTCAAAGAAAGGAAAAAAATATAAGGGATCTTTGCACTCCCATGTTTATCATAGCACTATTCACAATAGTTAAAATCTGGAAACAACCTAAATGTTCCTCAAGAATGAATGGATAAACAGCAACAACAAAAAAACATAATGGAATATTATTCTGTCATAAAAAATTATGAAATCCCATCAACAGAGTTTTTTATTGTTTAATTGTGCTTTGGTTATTTTAAAAAATATATTACCCTGTTGCATTCTGTTTTTCATAGTTTTAATTCACAAGTCCATCATCAGTCTCAGCTTCTTTGAAGGCATTTATCTTTTTAGTTTGGCTGCTTTATCCACCAATGTATAAATGAATAAATAGATATGATATCTATCTATATATATACACATACAATGGAATATTAGACATAAAAATAATAAAATTTGGTTATTTGCAGGAGCATGAATGGAAATTGAGATCATTATGTAAATTGAAATATGCCAAGCAAAGAAGGACAGCTATTGCAAGGTCTCATCCATGTGTGGGATCCCAGAGGCTGGAAAGGGCATGTGGGAGAGGAAATGGAGAGGAGTTGATTCATGGGTACAAACATACAGTTGGAAGAAGAAATAAGATCAACTGTTTGATAGATAAGTAAGGTGACTATAGTTTATAACGATTGTACATTTCAACATAGCAGGAAGATAACAAATGATTGTAGCAAAAAGACAAATATTTAAGGCGATGAATATTCCAGGCACACTGATTTGATCTTACAAATTATATAAACACATTAAATCATTACATATATTCAGAAACTATAGACATCTATTATGTATCAATAAAAATTATTTCAAAAATTCGGATATTCTGAGTCAATCTGAGTTCTAATGGAACAGAAAATGTGGTCATGAGACCAAGAATGGCAGTATTAGTGTGGATGAGACTCAATATCTTGAATTCCCAAATTTTCTTGGGGCAACCTGGCCAACCAAATTGGTGTGTTTCTCATGATGAGAGAAAAATCACCAAATTGATGTGTTTCTTAACATGAAAGAAAAATCACTTAACGTTTGTTAGGAATTTATAATACCTTACCTGAGGCTGGTTTGAAACAACACGCTTTTATTCAAGATTGTTTAAACATCTCTCATTGACTCCAAGGCAAAAAAGAGTTAGTTGTCTTCAGAGGATGAGCATACAAACAAGGTCTGCTTTCACATTTACACACACACACACACACACACACACACACACACACACACAAAGCTCTATGACAAGGAGATCGCAGAATTATTTAATGTGTATTTTTACCACGTGTATGAAAATGTATCTTGGGGGTTTTAGAATAATAAGGAAAAGAATCGTATAAGGTTAAAAAGAAAGTATTTTTTGACATGGGGGCAATCACTTATGATTTAGAAGTCAATGTTCTGGCAAGGACACTCACAGCCCTTCTTCTGTGTTTGCAGGGATGGCTCCTTGAAGACTGAAAACAATGATTGCTGATAGTGTGCTGAAACTTCTTTGACACTGACTTAAGGAAGGAATCAAAGGGTCAGGTAAGTGGGAATGTTCTAATAAATCTGAGAAACCACCACCTGATTAGATTACCTGAGAGGGCCCAGAAGATATTCCCTTATTAGTCCATGGTGAATACATGTGTAAATGTGGCACCGATATCTTTGCAAACCTCAATGATGGCTGGGCTAGCATGAAAATGCTTCCTGTTACTGACATATCTTTCTTATATAACCGAGGTTAATGGGATTCTAAAGTGAGAGAGCACAATTAAAGAATTTAATAATCAAAGACTAGCTGAAGTTAGTTTGTGTGAGGTGCATCAGCACTGGGGTTGCAGTAAGAGTCCCTTCATCCAAAGGAATATATATGTGAGTGGATTAAAACTTATTATAGGCCTAGGGAAAAGTAGATGTGCAGTTAACTAATGTTGCTTACTTTGTATATTTAAAACATTTAAAAGGTGGCAGGAAGATGACTAACTTTAACCACCACAATGAAAAAATTAATTTCCTTGCTCAGAGTATTAATTTCCTATTGCTGCCATCACAAATCACTACAAATACAACTACCTAAACACCTGTTTATTACCTCACAATTCTGTTGGTGAGAAATCCAGGAGGACTCAGCCAAGTTCTCTTCTTTGGATATTACAAGACCAAAGTTTAAGGCATTGGCCATATTGAGCTCTTCTCTCAGGAAACTTAGAAGGAATCTCTTCCTAAACTCCTTCAGTTGGTTTGAAGAACTCAATTCTTTGTGATTGTACATCTGTGGTTCCCATTTACTTGCTGGTGTTAATGATAGGTTGCTTTTCTCTTAAAGGTTGCCCAAATTTCTATTCATTTGCCCCTTTTATCTCAAAGCCAGGAAGAGTTTATTGAATTCTTCTCACCCTTCCATTTTCTCAGGCTTTCCTTTCTGCCGACAGCCAGAGAAATCTCTCTGTATTTAAGATCTCATGTAACTATACCCAGCTCACCTGGATAGTTGCCCTATCTAAAGGCCTATTGTTCCGTACAACATAAAACAATTGTGGAAGTGATGTCTTTTTATATTTACAAGGTTTGAGGATAAGGACAGATATTTGGAGAGTGGAGGAGGCATTTACAAAAATGTTGTTTACCTCAGTGAGTTTCTAAAACTAAATCAATTCTCAAACCCAAAGCCCACTCATAAAAGGTAAGGCTGGATGTACTTGAGAAAAAAACCTAGCACTATTACTACACGTGTATACAATACCTTCCAGTCCTATACCAGATGGACCAGCAGCCACATTTAGGAGGTAATAGATTCTGATGTGCTGCCCAGATGTCCCTTTTAGAACTCACATCCTCATTTCTCCAGATGCCAGGAGAGTTGGCATCTTCTTTTTATTTTTGAGACAGAGCCTTGCTCTGTCACCCAGGCTGAAGTACAGTGGCACGATCTCAGCTCACTGCAGCCTCCTCCTCCCGAGTTCAAGTGATTCTCCTGCCTCAGCCTCCCTAGTAGCTGGGATTACAGGCGCCTGCCACCATACCCAGCTAATTGTTTTATTTTTAGTAGGGTCGAGGGTTTCGCCATGTGGGCCAGGCTGGTCTCAAACTCCTGACCTTGTGATCCACCTGCCTCGGCCTGCCAAAGTGTCGGGATTACAGGCTTGAGCCACCGCGCCTGGCCAGGAGAGTTGGTTTCTAATGCCTCGCAGCTGAGTACCTCTCTGGAACTTCTTAATTGTCTTTGGTCAAGGAAGCTGATTGTTTAAAGTTATGTTCCTTCTCTGGTAGTAGCCCACACCCAGGGACTGGTCAATGTGTTGTACTTGGCCCTTTGTTTATATTTAAATTAACTCTGAAGAGTCATCCTCATGTCAGAGCTACCTTACTTACAGCTGAGGCTTTTAGGGCAACTGAATTATATTTCTTCTTATTCTTCTGACCAGTTATATTCCTGTTTTCCTCACCATGTTTTATATATTTCTAAAAGGCAAAAACACATCCTTCATACAAATCTTTGCCTCAGAGTCTGTTTTCCAGGAAGTCAGTGAAGTACAAAAGTACACTGAGGAAAGAAAAGTACCTAGACTTTTTGAGGACAATTAAGATAAAGACTCTGTGCTAACTGATAACTGTTGATCCAAATGCTGAATAATTTTAATTCTTACTTAAGCACTAAAAGGGAATACAACACATTCTATACATTCCACTGGCTCTCTCATTTCTGGATCTCACAGGTAGAGAAGTGAGACAGATATGTCTTTTTTTTTTTTAATGGAGCATCGGAGACCTATATAATAAACTTCTATTGTGATAGACTTAGTGACTTTGGCAAGTCTTATAACTGACTCATATGAGCTTACTGTATTCACTAGACTGTATCATATTTTTCTTATTAACCAGTATTAATCAAAAAAGCGGCCGGGCGCGGTGGCTCACGCCTGTAATCCCAGCACTTTGGGAGGCCGAGGCGGGCGGATCACGAGGTCAGGAGATCGAGACCATCCCGGCTAAAACGGTGAAACCCCGTCTCTACTAAAAATACAAAAAATTAGCCGGGCGTAGTGGCGGGCGCCTGTAGTCCCAGCTACTTGGGAGGCTGAGGCAGGAGAATGGCGTGAACCCGGGAGGCGGAGCTTGCAGTGAGCCGAGATCCCGCCACTGCACTCCAGCCTGGGCGACAGAGCGAGACTCCGTCTCAAAAAAAAAAAAAAAAAAAAAAGCAAAGTGCCAAAGCAGAATAAAAACTATATGTATTGACATTCATACGAAATGTATTTATGTATGTCATAATATAAATCCATGCAAAATGACATTTTCACCATAAAGGTCACAGTAAAAAGAAAAATAAAATGTTGGGCCAAGCACAGTGACTCATGCCTGTAATGTAAGCCCTTTGGGAGGCTGAGGTTGGTGGATTGCTTGAGCCCAGGAGTTTGAGACCAGCCTGTGCAGCATAGTGAAACCCCATCTCTACAAAACTACAAAAAATTAGCCTGGCATGGTGGCATGCACCTGTAGTCCAGCAACCCAAGAGTCTGAGCTCCAGAGGTCAAAGCTGCAGTGAGCTGTGACTGCACCATTGCACTCCAGCCTGTGTGACAAATGAGATCTTGTCTAAAAAAAGGAAAAAAGTCTTGCATTATATATTATCTTCCTAATGCTATGTAACATATTACTACATATTTAGTAAAATAATATTCACTTATCAGTTCACATTTCCTTAGGTCAGAAGTCCAGATGGGCTTGACTAGGTTCTCTGCAGAGGATTTCACAATTCCAATAACCCAGGCCAGCCAGATGGGCTCTGTGGGAACTCGAGGGAAGAATCCACTTCTAGTTGTATTCAAGTTAATGGCCAAGTTCTGTTCCTTGAAGTGTTAAGACTAAGGTCCCCATTTCTTTGTTATTGTCAGCTACGGACCATTCTTACCTTCTAGAAGAAGTCTGAATTCCGTGTGGGTGACCGCCCCCCGCTGCCGCAATATTCACAATTAGCCATTCAAAACTATCAATAGCATGGCCAATCCTTATACTTCAAAACTTCCTTACTTCCTTTTCTGCGACTCAACAGAAAATATTGTTTCTTTTAAAGGGCTTGTTTTATTTGATTAGGCCAACCTAGATGCACTCTTGCATGCCATGCAAAGTGGCAGAAATCATTAAGTGACATTTTAAACTGATATGATATGCACAGATTCTACACAAACTCAAATATGACAGGGTTATACAAGGGCAAGGCACAATGGTGGCCATTCTTAGGATCCTGCCTACCATACATCTTATGTATAAAAATGTGTATATCATGCCATATATCTTTAATAAATACAATATTCAAATTGTTTTCTGCAAAATTTCAAGAGCCATACTACCTGGTATATCTGATTGTTCAAAATTATGGGATGAGTAATTAAGTTAATGCTTGCAATATCCACTTGAATATCACTTTCTGAAAACACATCAAAACAAAATAAATGATTAAAGTTCAAATTTGTTTTTCTCCTTTCCACGATAATAGCTCCTAAAATCCCCAAATCTCCTTTAAAAATATGGGAGGAAGAATAAAATTACACCTGCAATAGACAATGTTTATAGCCTACCAAAATCTCTTTGTTGAAATATTAAATCCCAAGTTGATGGCATTAGGAGGCAGAGCCTTTGGGAGGTCATTAGGTCATGAGGGCAGTGCCCTCACAAAGGCAATTAGTGTCCTTACAAAAGAGGCCTGAGGAAACTTATTTGTCTCTTCCACTATGTAAGGACATAGGAAGAAGGTGTGGTTTATAAGGAACTGGCCCTCACAAGACATTGAATCTGCTCACACCTTGTTCTTGAACTTCTGAGCCTCCAGAACTGTGGGAAATACATTTTTGTTGTTTATAAGCTACTCAGTTTATGGTATTTTGTTACAGCAGCTTGGACAGACTAAAACTACAGCCTAAGTTATTTATTTTGATATTTGTTATATTAAAGGCATCTGGTATATAAATAATATGAATAAGATGCTGCCCATTATTCTAATATAATAATTTAATTATATTTTTAAAAAAAGACAAGATATAATGTTGAGTAAGTATACCTTTTATTTTATTATCCACTAGTCATAATAGACTGAAATAATATATATATAACACACTTGCTAGAAAAATGCCTTATGTTATCTGCCATCTTATACTACTGTGGATAAGACTGTTGTTTGCATTTAGTTTGCTTTCTAGTAGCATACCAGTTTCTACAGAATGTTTCTGCTTCCTCTTCTTTTCCATCAGGAAGTGCTGTTGAAGTCCCTGAATCTATTGGGTTACACCTGAGTCTAATTGAATAATAACTAAGAATATCTTTCCTAAGCCATTTGTATATGTTGTATTTTATAAATCTCAAGTTCAAGAAAACTGGAAGAATATTCTACCCTACAGAGCATAACATTTTATTAGTCCCTTATAGTACTTAAAAAAATTCCAATGCATTATCAAGTTTGCATTAATCTTTATTATGTTTTCTTATTATAAAATAGTACATATTTACTTAAAGATCACTGAATGTTATAATACTTAGAGTTATAGTATAATACAATTCTTTTTTAGGTGGTATATTCACAATTAACTCCAGTGAGTTCATTCACTTTTATTCATGTATTATTTGTTTAGTCACTAGGCATTTACTAAATCATATTAGTGAACCATAAAAGAAGAAATATTACTGTATTTTAAAACATTTTCAATATAATTTTATATCCTACTGATGGCATACAGGGATTATACAATTCCTTAGAAATGAATTGCAAATTCTGATGCTTTAGAATAATGGTTGGTATATCATGCTGTTTTAAAATTCCAGATGTCAATGACATGTAGCAGTCAAACCCTGAGTTTAAATTCTTCTGTTCTAATTCCAGATTTTCTTCTTGGTAGCTAATTGGTACTAAGCAAGTAACCTAGTCTCCGAAAAAGTTACGTTATCAATTTTAAAACGTAATAAACTTATAAAATACTACACAGATGTAAGCTATGATGAAGATAGTGATTATGCAGCAATAACAATACTTTCCATTTTGTAATATTTGTATAATCTGAAGTTGATCCCTTCCATTCTTAAGTTAGCTTTCCGTAAAAAAATATGAAATTTATTTTTCTGAAGAAATATATGTTGACAAAGTCTCGGAGAATACAGTTATGTGTATTCTCAAATTCTAAATATCTGAGTCAGTTTCATTTTATCTTGTTCTGAAAGCCTAGTCATGTGAAAAAATATTGATGGCAGTAAGATTCTAAGGCAACATATGTATAAGTAACTGAAGAAAACTAATAGTACAACAAATGGTCAGAAGAAATCCTTTACGAATGTGTTGAAGCAAAATTCAAATCAATATGATTGAATTGTTAATATCAATGAAACCCAGATAGACGCACCTGTGTAAAAAAGTTGAGTATCTCAGAACAAACTAGTCTTAGGCAAGAAAACAACTATAAACAACAAATTGTGCAAGTTGCAGCAAATCATTAAGGCTGAGATGGGTTACACATTTAATCCATGTTGTGAAAACTTGTTTCCTTTTCTTTAGGGCATTTGACTCAAAAGCCCATGTTTTTCCATTAGGTGCAATTTGGCCCTATTAGAGGACATTTGTATCCTTCATTCACTATTTAATTAAGAGAGAAATGTTAAAGTAATTGAACCTGTAGTGCTTTAAATGCAGGAGGAATATTGTATTTGTATTGTTTTAATATTCAAAGTATGTAAAAGCCATGTTATTATATTAGTTAAAATACCAATAGAAAACATTTCAAATTATGTATTCATGCAACAATGTTTTCTGAGCAGTTATATGTGCTAGAATATAAAGAACTAAGTAATAAACAATACAGATATGGTATTTGCTCTATTATACTACTAATGATGGCAGAAAAAGAGAGAGGAAATTGCTACGATGTATGATTAATGCTATATCAAACAAAGTAATGTACAATTTGTGACAAATTCCAGGAATATCTAATTTATTCTACACAGTGCATAAAGTTTTCCCAGAAAATACCTCTTTATCTTAGCTAAAAGTCTTTTAAACTAGCTTTATATTTTTTTCAGTAGTTCTCAAACTGTAGCCTCATTTAAAGTGAAGATAAAAATTATTTCATGGAAACTGAGTATTAAATTATTTTTCTTATATTATTTTGACATACCCAATAATAAAACTAAGAACATAATTTTTGAGGTTTTAATTCTGTGTGACTTTAAAATTAAAACATATTTCACAATGAACTATAAAGCAAAATTTATCTCAAATTAGTGAAACTGATAATGTTTACCTGATGATAAATTGATTCTACCAATATTAATATGGAGTGTATTGCTATGAGGTGAATTTTTGAGTATGGCCTGATTTACTGCTAAAGGATTTCTCAAGCAAATTTTGTAGGTTTTATCCAGTGCAAAAATTCAGTCAATTGTTATTAGGCCCTCATTCTGTGGGAACATACCTCTTTTGTTTTATCTCTTTGTTCTTTCAGTAGTGACTCATAATAATTAAAGTGAGACTATTGTTTCTTTTTTTAATTTAATTTAATTTTATTATTATTATACTTTAAGTTTTAGGGTACATGTGCACAATGTTCAGGTTAGTTACATATGTATACATGTGCCATGCTGGTGTGCTGCACCCATTAACTCGTCATTTAGCATTAGGTATATCTCCTAATGCTATCCCTTCCCCCTCCCCCCACCCCACAACACTCCCCAGAGTGTGATGTTCCCCTTCCTGTGTCCATGTGTTCTTATTGTTCAGTTCCCACCTATGAGTGAGAACATGTGGTGTTTGGTTTTTTGTCCTTCTGATAGTTTACTGAGAATGATTTCCAATTTCATCCATGTCCCTACAAAGGATATGAACTCATCATTTTTTATGGCTGCATAGTATTCCATGGTGTATATGTGCCACATTTTCTTAATCCAGTCTATTATTGTTGGACATTTGGGTTGGTTCCAAGTCTTTGCTATTGTGAATAGTGCCGCAATAAACATACGTGTGCATGTGTCTTTATAGCAGCATGATTTGTAGTCCTTTGGGTACATACCCAGTAATGGGATGGCTGGGTCAAATGGTATTTCTAGTTCTAGATCCCTGAGGAATTGCCACACTGACTTCCACAATGGTTGAACTAGTTTACAGTCCCACCAACAGTGTAAAAGTGTTCCTATTTCTCCACATCCTCTCCAGCACCTGTTGTTTCCTGACTTTTTAATGATTGCCATTCTAACTGGTGTGAGATGGTATCTCATTGTGGTTTTGATTTGCATTTCTCTGATGGCCAGTGACGGTGAGCATTTTTTCATGTGTTTTTTGGCTGCATAAATGTCTTCTTTTGAGAAGTGTCTGTTCATGTCCTTCGCCCACTTTTTGATGGGGTTGTTTGGTTTTTTCTTGTAAATTTGTTTGAGTTCATTGTAGATTCTGGATATTAGCCCTTTGTCAGATGAGTAGGTTGTGAAAATTTTCTCCCATTTTGTAGGTTGCCTGTTGACTCTGATGGTAGTTTCTTTTGCTGTGCAGAAGCTCTTTAGTTTAATTAGATCCCATTTATCAATTTTGGCTTTTGTCCTGAATGGTAATGCCTAGATTTTCTTCTAGGGTTTTTATGGTTTTAGGTCTAACGTTTAAGTCTTTAATCCATCTTGAATTCATTTTTGTATAAGGTGTAAGGAAGGGATCCAGTTTCAGCTTTCTACATATGGCTAGCCAGTTTTCCCAGCATCATTTGTTAAATAGGAAATCCTTTCCCCATTTCTTGTTTTTGTCAGGTTTGTCAAAGATCAGATAGTTGTAGATATGTGGCGTTATTTCTGACGGCTCTGTTCTGTTCCATTGATCTATATCTCTGTTTTGGTACCAGTGCCATGCTGTTTTGGTTACTGTAGCCTTGTAGTATAGTTTGAAGTCAGGTAGCATGATGTCTCCAGCTTTGTTCTTTTGGCTTAGGACTGACTTGGCGATGCGGGCTCTTTTTTGGTTCCATATGAACTTTAAAGTAGTTTTTTCCAATTCTGTGAAGAAAGTCATTGGTAGCTTGATGGGAATGGCAAAATAATAAGAGCTATCTATGACAAACCCACTGCCAATATCATACTGAATGGGCAAAAACAGGAAGCGTTCCCTTTGAAAACCGGCACAAAACAGGGATGCCCTCTCTCACCACTCCTATTCAACATAGTGTTGGAAGTTCTGGCCAGGGCAATTAGGCAGGAGAAGGAAATAAAGGGTATTCAATTAGGAAAAGAGGAAGTCAAATTGTCCCTGTTTGCAGATGACATGATGTATATCTAGAAAACCCCATTGTCTCAGCCCAAAATCTCCTTAAGCTGATAAGCAACTTCAGCAAAGTCTCAGGACACAAAATCAATGTACAAAAATCACAAGCATTCTTATACACCAATAACAGACAAACGGAGAGCCAAATCATGAGTGAACTCCCATTCACAATTGCTTCAAAGAGAATAAAATACCTAGGAATCCAACTTACAAGGGACATGAAGGATCTCTTCAAGGAGAACTAAAAACCACTGCTCAATGAAATAAAAGAGGATACAAAGAAATGGAAGAACATTCCATGCTCATGGGTAGGAAGAATCAATATCATGAAAATGGCCATACTGCCCAAGAGACTATTGTTTCTAAGACAGTCAGAAGTATCTACTAAAATATGGGCATTTAAATCACATAGCACTATTTTCCTTTTGCAGTCCCACTAATTTCCTTTTGCAGAGTAGACTCACTTTATAACTCTCTTTGAAAAATGTCCCTTTATCAAGGGTCTGACTCAGAGAATTGTGTTGGAAAGTCTATGCACACTCAAAAATCAACAAACATGTTATTAAGATTACTATCTTAAATGTATTTTATAATGTATTAGGAATACAACAAGAAAACTGAATTACCTGAAAAAGAACAAGGAATCAGAGTATAATCAGAACTTTAAAATAAGCGTATCATTTTTATTTCTCAGAGATACTTTGAAAGAACTGCATCCAATAAGCTGAGATTCTCACACAATAATATGTTTTTGGAGATTTTGGCATTTGAAACTTGTCTTGTTTTGTGCTGTTGTAACAAATTATCTGAAGCTAAGTAATTTATATAGAATGAAATTTATTTTCTTATAGTTTTGGAGGCTGGGAGTCCAAGATAAGGGTAGGTTCACTGTCTGGAGAGAGCCCAGTATCCACTTCCAAGATGGCGCCTTGTTGCTGCATCTTCTTGAGGAGAGAAACACTGTGTCCTGCTATAGTGAAGGAACCCAAAGGATGAGAAAGGAGCAAATTTCCTCTGTCAAGATCTTTTATAATTGCATTAATTCCATTCACAAAGGTGGAGCACTCATGATTCAATCATTTCTCAATATCAATACCTCTCAATGCTATTGCTTTGGGGTTTGAAGTCTAACACGAATTCGGGGAGTTTGGTGAGGGGGGCACAAGCATTCGAACAATAGCAAACATGGAATTGTTGAAATGAAAAATGAAAATAACGACAAAGTTTGAAAATAGAATTAATTCACGACTAAATAATACTAAACGGCAAGTTACTATGATGGATGCTGAATTTAAAAATTATCAGAGAACATAGAACCGAAAGACAGCACTAGGTCTATCTACGTTATATCCTTATACCTAAAAATATGCACATACTGTGCAGGATTGTGTAAGGGCAGAGAATTTTTCCTCCCCCTCTGAAGGTTTGAGTCTGTGAAAATGAACTGACAACAGGCAGGTTAACAGGAGAAAAGGCATAAAATTTACTGATGGGTAGAAGCACAGGAGCCATACTAAATAAAAGACTCCAAGAGGGCCCAGGTGACCGAAGTTTTCAAACTGTCCTGAGGCTACAGGTTATGGGAGGTGAGAGGAGGTGAGCATGTCCTTAGAAATAGTAGATAGTAGTCTGTGGTAAAAGCCTCTGTCAGACCACTAAAAGAATCAGACCTTTAGTTTCTTTTTGCTGTGACTTACGTATCTCCTACATCAAGATAAACAGATAAGGAGTCCTCAGAGGAAGCCTGTTTGCATCCCCACAAATGCAAATCTGCTGCACAAGAGGCAGCTTTTCAGGGCTATTCCCCTCTCTGCATCCTCTCTAAATAGTTATATCAAAAGATCCCCAAAAAGTATATTTTAGGGTGGCATATTTTGTTATTCCTGAAATTGTTAAAGTTCTAAAGTGAAATCCAACAGATTTTTAATAGTGTCTAGGAAAGGGGGTGGAATAGGAGGCTGTAGAAACCTGAATGCAATATTTTTATTATTAAAGAAACGTGAATTTCTGTATAAATAATGTAACTAAATGTAATTTTAAATAATATTAATCGATAGACTTATTTTCAAATAAAGTAATATGAAGTAATATAAAATTATTACGTTATGTATCTCAAGCTTAAACTTAATTGGAAGTCAAATTAATATATATATATATTCTATCTCAATATAAATTTTTATATATATAAATATAGGTATGGTCGGTTATTCCCATCTAGTCTAACCAAAAAGAGAAAAGTGAAAAGAAAAATAAAAGAGAAAAGAAAGGAAGAATAACACTTTTTCTATTTAAGCTACTCTAACAGGTTACTTACAACTTTTAAGCTTCCTTAGTTCAGAGACTCCCCAAAGCATTATTGCGTATAAATACATTTCATTAATGACAACAACAACAAAAATCACATAGGGAACCAATTTCTGAGATGATTAATTGTTACCAGTTAAAATAAAGTTTTCTTCTTGGTAAATACAACTGCATATTAATTATAAATGTCTACTAATAGCTTAAAAAATGCACTTAGAGAGCCAAACAGCATTTATCATAAAACCTAAACTCGGTATTAGAGTATAAAAATTCCATGTGCCATGCTTTCCTTTTTGTGTGGATTAATACTTACCATTTACACAAATGAATTATGTGGAAAGTGTCATATCATAGTAAATCATCAACAAAGTGCTTTATTAATAATATAAAAACCTAAAATCATTAATAATTGTAATATATGTGATACTTTACCATGTGAATAAAATAAATCCACACTGCATTTTGTTTTGTGTGTTTTCTTGAATTTGAAATCATAATCAAAAAGAAAATGATAGAGAGAAATTACTGATTGGCTTACTTGTGCAAAGGCAATATTGTTTAGCTTCAAATTGCTTTTTCCCAAAATAGGACTAAGAAAATAGAGCTCCTATATCCAGAAATCTGTTTCCTTCACTGAGCAAATAATCAAAATTTAAATATAAAAACAGATTTGTTGAAATGGGAATATTTTTAAAAGTTTTATTTTCCAAATTCTATTACCCTGATTTATGTTTAATGAAAAATTCATTTTCTTAGACATGTAAGGTTTATACAAATAGCATTATACAAAAATATAATTGGATTTTCATACATATATATACACACACAATTTAGATTGCTCTTTGATTATATAGTAATATAACATTTTATTTTTTTTTTCTTTTTGAAATCTAGTACTTATTCAATATTATGATTATCTTTCCAATGAAGTATGAGAGGAAATGTAGGAGCCAAAGGAGAGCTTTCCCCTAGGCCCTCTGAAGATTCACTGAAAAATCAATTCACTAAGGCAGATTAACTAGAGTAAACGAATACAAATTTATTTAGTGCAGGTATAAAGGAGCATTCAGAATGAAGACCAAAAGATACAGAGGAAATGCTTAGATTCAACACAGTATGTATGGACAGCCAAGTAGAAATATGATTGGACAAAAAGTATATGATCTCATGCTAATGGATAGAATGAGGAAACCAAGCAAGGTCTCTGTGTCCAGATTCTTCTTGGCTTTTCCTGAGTAGGTTTCCTTCTGTATATGCGGCAAGACTCTCTCTAGAATGGGGGATTTTATGACCTACAGTCAACAAGATAAGTCAGATAATTTCTAGATGACCAGTTTTTACACAAAAATGTGCAGGCAAAGTTAGAGTAATATTTTTAGATTTTATGGTTGGTTTTAGGGACAAGAGGTACTGGTTTCTATGAGACACTTTGGGTAAGATGAGTTCGAGTTTCTATGGCTAGCCATGGGAGAGCATGGGACTGATGGTGCAGGAGATGGTCACAGAAAAACTTTTGCTTCTGAGGCCTTCATTTTTGTGTATAGTTTTCTGACCCCCAACAGACACTAGACAGTAACTCAAAGCCACATGAAAAAATAAAGTTCTCAAAAAAGGCAAATGAATGGGCAGTCACAAAAGCTAGTAGTATTTTAAAAACGGTTATTAACTCCACTTTTGTTTTCTGTATGATTTAAGAGAATAATGCATAAAAATACTATTAGTCTAAATGTTAATACAATTGTAACTTTGTTTTATAACCTCACCTTTTATTTTCTATATAATTTAAGAGCCTAATGTATTTAAAAGAGTTATTTATTTTGGGGGGCACACAATACATAAAGATGTAATTTTGTGACATATACAAACAACCTAAAGAGTTGAGGACAGAGCTACAAAAAAAGCAAAGTTTTTTGTTTGTTTGTTTGTTTGTTTTGTTTGAGACAGAGTCTCACTCTTGTTGCCCAGACTGGAGTGCAGTGGCATGATCTCGGCTCACTGCAACCTCCGCCTCCAGGGTTCCAGCAATTCCTCTGCTTCAGCCTCCCAAGTAGCAGAATTACAGGCGCCCACCACCATGCCCATTTAATTTTTGTATTTTTAGTAGAGATGGGATTCACCATGTTGGCCAGGCTGGTCTCAAACTCCTGACCTCAGGCGATCCGCCCTCCTTGGCCTCCCAAAGTGCTGGGATGACAGGTGTGAGCCACTGCACCCAGCTGCAAAGTTTTTATATGTTATCAAAATTAAGCTGGTATAAATTCAAATAAGAGTGCTATAAGTTTAGAATATTAAATATAATTCCTATGGTAAAGACAAAAATAAAAATACCTATAGAATATATAAACAAAAGAAGTTTTTTAAGTAAATATCTTACTACAAAAAAATCAACTAAACACCAAAGAAAACAGTAACGTATAAAATGAAGAACAAAAAAAGCTATAAGGCATCCCTAAAACAAATTACGAAGTGAACAAATTAAGTCTTTCCTTATCTGTAATTACCTTAAATGTAAAAGTATTATGCTCTCTAATCAAAACACAGAGATTAGCAGAATGAAGAAGATAATATGGTCCAACTACGTGCTGTCTACAGGAGACTCACTTTAGATCCAAAGACACAAATTGATTTTAAATTACAGAATGGAAAAACCTATTCCAAGCAAATGGGAACCGAAAGAGATCAGAGGTGGCTATACTAAACTATTACAAAAAATAGACTTTACATTGTAGGAACCAAGGGAAAACTTCCCTTTCACTCTGAGAAGATTTGCTGAAAAATCAGCTCACAAAAGGCAGATTAATAAGAGAAAAGGTTTACAATTTTTTTAAACAGGTACACAAGGAGAATCACAGAGTGAGTACCTACTCCCTCAGTGGGATTCAGAAAGTGTATGTACCATCTTGAGGTTACAGAAAAGAATGGGGTATTGGATCCTTGCCAAAACAGGTTATAATGGTAAAACAAATTATAGTGGAAAGACAGTTTACGGGAAGGAGAGAAGAGGAGGCTTGGCTAGGAAAGCTGGTTTTGTTATGTAGAAGAAATCTCACAGATAGGAGCCCTCAAAAAAATTAATAATAAATGTTTGTTTCAGAGCTTTAAAGTTGTCAGACTCAGTTAATCTTTCCTAGATCTGGACAGTGGAAGGCCTGGCTTCACAGATTCTTTACGGAAGTAAATCTCCCCCACAAAAGAAAGCTTTAGAGGGCTACTCCTCTTTGCTGACTCTCTGAACTGCCATTTCAAAATATATCAAATAAATATATTTTGGGGTAAAATATTTTGATTTCTTTGAAAATCAAAACAGGTTCCCAGGAACAAAAGAATAACATTATGTATTAATAAAAATTTTAATACAGCAAGAAGATGTAACAATTATAAACATTTACTCACCTACTTGCAGACTATCAAAATATATAAGAAAAAAAAACCTGACAGATTGAAGGGAAGAAAAGAAAGTTCTAAAATAATAGTTTCAGAATTTAATACCTTATTGGCAACATTGGATAAAACAAACTGACAGAAGATGAGTGAGAAAATAGAGGATTTAAACAACACAGTAAACTAGCTACATCTAACAGATATATATATATATATACAGAACACTCTGCCCAAACACAACAGCATAGACATTTTTCTCATGTACACATGGGACATTTTCCAGGACAGATCATATATTGGGCCAAAATTCCATCTCAAAAAATGTAAAAAGATAGATGTAATACAAAGTACCTTATTCAAGCACAAAGAGATAAAGTTAGAAATTAATAACAAAAGTACAATTGGAAAATTCACAAATTTGTGAAAATTAAACAAAACTCTAGTAAACAACCAATAGATCAAAAAAGAAATCACAAGGAAAATTAGAAAATAATTTAGAGATGAATAAAAATTCAAACACAAAAGTGATGCTAAGAAGGAATTTATTCTTATAAACACTTATATTAAAAATTTAAGCAAAAATCAAATTGAAAACATAAATTTACAACTTAGGAAACTAAAAAAGGAAAAATAAACTCAACACTATCAGAAGAAAGGAAATAATGATTAGAATACACATAAATGAAACAGAGAACACAAAAGCAGCAATCAATGAACCCTAAAGTTGTTTTTTCTTTGGGCAGAACAAAAAGAAATTCACAAACCTTTAGCTAGATGAACCAAGAAGAGATAATTATCAAATTACTAAAATTACAACTAAATATGTGGACATTACTCCTGATTTTACAGAAATAAAGAGGATTTTAAAAGACTACTATGAAAAATTATATGACAACAAATAGAATAAATCCATATAAAAAGGACAGTTTTCTAGAAACATAAGATCTACCAAGACTAAATTGAAATACATAATTTGAATAGAACTATAACTAGTAGGAAAATTGGATTAATAACCAAAAATATCCTAACAGAGAAAACCTCTGAACCTGATGATTTCACTGGTGAATTCTACCAGACATTTAAAGACCAATAATCCTTCTCAAACTTTTCAAAAAAAGAGAGTACTTTCTAACTCACTGACATGAGACAGTGTTACACTGATACCAAAGCAAAAGACACTATAAATTTTAAAAAGTACAGATCAATATCTCTTGCAAACTCATGCAAAATTCTCAACCAAACACTAGCGAACTGAATTCAGCAGGGTATAAAACATATTAAACACTGTATCAATCCATTTTCCTGCTACTGATAAAGACATACCTGACTGAGAAGAAAAAGAGGTTCAATTGAACTTACAGTTCCACATGGCTGGGGAGGCCTCAGAATCCTGGCTGAAGGTTAAAGCACTTCTTACATGGCAGCGGCAAAAGAAAATGAGGAAGATGCAAAACCAGAAACCTCTGATAAAATCAACAGATCTCTTGAGACTTACTCATTATCAAACTGAGCCCATGATTCAAATTATCTCCCACTGGGTCCCTCCCACAACATGTGGGAATTATGGGAGTACAATTCAAGATAAGATTTGGGTGGAGACACAGAGCCAAACCATATCTTTCTGCCCTTGGCCCCTCCAAATCTCATCTCCTCACATTTCCAAACCAATCATGCCTTCTCAACAGTTCCCCAACATTTTAACCCATTTCAGCATTAACCTAAAAGTCCACAGTTCAGTCACATTGAGAGAAGGGAAACCCCTTCCACCACTGAGCTTGTAAAATCAAAAGCAAGCTAGTTACTTCCTAGATACAATGGGGGTACTGATATTGGGTAAATACAGCCATTCTAAATGGGAGAAATTGGCCCATGCAAGTCTGAAATTCAGTGGGGCAGTCAAATTCTAAAGTTCCAAAATGGTCTCCTTTGACTACATGTCTCACATCCAAGTCATGCTGATGCAAGAGGTAGGTTCCCATAGTCTTGGGAAGTTCCACCCTTGTGGCTTTGCAGGCTATAGCCCCCTACTAGCTGTTATCACAGGCTGGCATTGAATGTCTGTGGCTTTTCCAGGTTCATGGTGCAAGTTTTTGGTCGATTAGCCATTCTGGGGTCTGGAGGACGGTAGCCCTCTTCCCGGAGCTCCACTAGGCAATGCCCTAGTAGGGACTCTATGTGGGGGCCCCAACCCCATAGTTCCCTTCTGCACTGCCCTAGCAGAGGTTCTCCATGAGGGCCCTGCCCCTGCAGCAAACATCTGCCTGGGCCTCCAGGCGTTTCCATACAACTTCTGAAATCTAGGAGGAGGTTCCCAAACCTCAATTTCTGACTTCTTTCCACCCGTAGGCTCAACATCACGTGGAAGCTGCCAAGGTTTGGAGCTTGCACCCTCTGAAACCATGGGCTGAACTATACCTTGTCCCCTTTTAGCAATGGCTAGAGTGGCTGGGATGCAGGGCCTCAAGTCCCTAGGCCGGACACATGGGCACGCTGGGCCAAGCCCACAAAATCATTTTTTTCTACTAGGCTTCAGGGTCTGTGACAGAAGGGGCTGCCAGGAAGACCTATGACATGCCCTGAAGACATTTTCCCCATTGTCTTGGGAATTAATATTTGGCTTCTTTTTATGTATGAAAATTTCTGCAGCCTGCAAGAATTTCTTTTCAAAAAATGGATTTTTCTTTCCTACTACATCGTGAGGCTACAAATTTTCTGAACTTCTATACTGTTTCTCTTTTAAAACAGAATGCTTTTAACAGCACCCAAGTCATCTTTTGAATGGTTTGCTGCCTAGAAATTTCTTCTGCCAGATACCCTAAATAATCTCTCTGAAGTTCAAAGTTCCACAAATCTTTAGGGCAGGGGCAAAATGCCACCATTCTCTTTGCTAAAACATAATAAGAGTCACTTTTGCCTTAGTTCTCAACAAGTTCCTCATCTCCATCTGAGACCACCTCAGCCTGGACCTTATTGTTCATAGCACCACCAGCATTTTTGTCAAAGCCATTCAATAGGTCTCTAGGAGGTTCCAAACTTTCCCACATTTTCCTGTCTTCTTCTGAGCCCTCCAACTGTTAGAACCTCTGCCTGATACCCAGTTCCAAAGCGCTTCTACATTTTCAGGTATCTTTTCAGCAACACCCCACACTACTGGTACCAGTTTACTGTATTATTCCGTTTTTATGCTGCTGACAAAGACATGCCCGAGACTGGGGAGAAAAAGAGGTTTAATTAGACATACACTTCCACATGGCTAGGGAGGCCTCACAATCATGGCAGAAGGCAAAAGGCACTTCTTACATGGCAGCAGCAAGAGAAAAATGAGGAACATGCAAAAGCAGAAATCTCTGATAAAACCATCAGATCTCATGAGACTTGTTCCCTATCATGAGAAGAGTATGGGAGAAACCACCCCCATGATTCAAATTACCTCCCATTGGGTCCCTCCCACAACACGTGGGAATTATGGGAGTACAATTTAAGATGAGACTTGAGTGAGGACACAGAGCTGAACCATATCAAACATTATAATCAAGAGAAATTTCTTCCTGTAATGCAAGGATGATTCAACATATGGAAATTGATCTATGTAATACACTACGTTAACAGAAGGAGGGACAAAAATATATTTATCTCAACTGAAACAGAAAAAGTATTTGACCAAATTCAACACTTTTTCATTATAAAAAACTCAAACTAGTGATAGAAGGAAACTACCTCAACATAAATAGAGCCACATATGAAAAACCTACAACAGACATTATACTCAGTGAAGACAGATTGACGGCTTTTCCTCGAAGATCAAGGCAAGAATGGTCATTTTTATCACTTTTTAAATTCAACATATTAGTGAAAGTTCTAGCCTGAACAATTGACCTAAAAGAAAGAAAGAAATGAGAAGGAATCCAAATTAGAAAGGAAGAAGTAAAGTTATTTCTGTCTGCAGACGATAGGATCTTTTATATGTAGAAAACCTTAAAGATACACACACACTCACACACACATACACACATGCAGAAACACAGATACATACATAAACTGTTAGAACTAATAAACAATTTTACCAAGGGGCAGTATCCAAAGTCAACACACAAAAAGCAGTTGCAGTCCTACACATTAACAATGAATAATCTGTAAAACAAATGATGAAAACAATTCCATTGACAATAGTTTTTAAAAGAAATAAAAATGCTTAGGAATTAATCTAAGCAGTAAAAGTTTATACAATGAAAACTCTAAAACATTGCTGAAAGAAATTATAGGAGACATAAGAAAATAGAAACACATCCATGTTCATGAATTAAAAGACCATATTTTTAAATGTCAGTACTTACCAAAGTTATCTATAGACTCAAAGCAACCCGTATAAAAATCCTGAAAATATTTTTTTTAGGCTGAAATGGAGAAACCCATCATAAACTTCATTGAAATGGCATCTCACAGAACACATAATTTTTTTTTAAATATGAGATGGCTCTTACTATTTTGAGGTATGTTCCTTCAATACCTCGTTTATTGAGAGTTTTTAATATGAAGAGGTGTTGAATATTATCGAAAGCCTTTTCTGCATCTATTGAGATAATCATGAGGTTTTTGTCTTTAGCTCTGTTTATGTGATGAATCACATTTATTGATTTTCATATGTTAAACCAACCTTGCATCCCAGGGGTAAAGCCTACTGGATTCTGGTGGATAAGCTTTTTGATATGCTGCTACATTGGGTTTGCCAGTGTGTTGTTAAGGATTTTTGTATAATGTTCATCAATGATATTGGTGTGAAATTTTGCTGTTGCTGTTTGGTCTCTGCTAGGCTTTAGTATTAGGATGACACTGGCCTCACAGAATGGGTTAGGGAAGAGTCCCTTCTTCTCAGTTTTCTGGAATAACTTCAGTAGAAATGGTATCAGCTGTTTTTTTGTACATCTGGTAGAATTTGGCTGTGCCTCCATCTGGCCCTGGGCAGTTTTTGTTTGGTAGGTGACTTATTACTGATTCCATTTTGGAGCTTGTTTTTTTTTTTTTTTTTTTTTTTTTTCTGCTCAGGGAGTCCGTTCTGCCTGGTTCAGTCTTCAGACGGTGTATGTATCCAGGAACTGGTCCACCTCTTTTAGATTTTCTAGTTTGTATGCATAGAGGTGTCCATACTAGTTTCCAATAGTTGTTATTATTTCTGTGGGGTAAGTAGTAACATTTCCTTCATCATTTCTAATGGTGTTTATTTGGATTTTCTCCCTTTTTTAAAATTAGTCTAGTGTCCTATCTCTTATAATTTTTTTTCAAAAAACAATCTCCTGGATTCGTCCATCTTTTGATTGTTTTTTTTGTGTCTCAGTTTTGTTTAGTTAGACTCTGATTTTCCCTATATATTGTCTTCTGCTAGCTTTGGGGTTGGTTTGCTCTTGTTTCTCTAGTTCTTTTAGTTGTGATATTTGGTTGTTAAATTGAGATCTTTCTTACTTTTTGACATGGGCATTTAGTGCTATAAATTTCCCTCTTAATACTGACTTAGCTGTGTCCCAGAGATTCTGGTATGTTGTATCTTTGTTCTCATTAATTTCAAAGAAGTTATTGATTTACACTTTAATTTCGTGATTTACCCATATGTCATTCTTGCTGAAGTAGTAGAATGCTAGTAATTTTCTCTAGGTTTCTATCAGGTCCATTTGATTCAGCACTGAGTTTAAGTCCTGACTATCTTTGTTAATTTTCTGCCTTGATGATCTGTCTAATACTGTCAGTGAGATGTTGAAGTCTCCCACAAACCCACAGCCAATATACTAAATAGGCAAAAGCTGAAAGCATTTTCCTTAAAAACTGGCACAAGACAAGAATGCTGTCTCTCACCACCCATTTTCAACACAGCATTGAAAATCCTGGCCAGAGCAATCAGGCAAGAGAAATAAATAAAGGGCATCCAAATAGGAAGAGAGGAAGTCAAATGATTCCTGTTTGCAGATGACATGATTCCATATCTAGAAAACCCTACTGTTGCAACCCAAAAGCTCCTTAAGCTGATAAACAACTTCAGTGATGCTTCAGTATACACAATCAAAGTACAAAAATTACTAGCGTTCTACTACTTCAACAAGAGTCAAGCTGAAAACCAAATTAGGAATGCAATCTCACTCACTCCTGTCACAAAAAGAATAAAATACCTAAGAGTACAGTTAATGAGGGAGTTGAAAGATCTCTACAAGAAGAACTACAGAACACCCCTCAAAAAAAAAAAATTAGAGATGACACAAAACAAATGGAAAAAATTTCATGTTCATAGATAGAATCCATATCACCAACTTGCTATACTGCCCAAAGCAATTTACATATTCAGTGCTATTCCTATCAAACTGCCAAATGATATTCTTCACAAACTAGAAAACAATGATTAAAAAATGCATATGGAAACAAAAAAGAGCTCAAATAGTCAAGGAAATCCTAAGCAAAAAGAACAGAGCTGAAAGTGTCACGCTACCTGACTTCAAACTATACTGCAGGGCTACAGTAACCAAAACAGCATGGTACTGAACACACAGACTGATGGAAGAGAATAGAGAGCCCAGAAATGAGGCCACACACCTACAACCATCTGTTCTTTGATAAAGCTAACAAAAACAAGCAACAGAGAAATGACTCCCTTTTCAGTAAGTGATGGTGGGATAACTGGCTGGCCATGTGCAGAAAATTGAAACTGGACCCCTTCCTTACAACATATACAAAAAATCATATATAAAAAATCAACTGAATATAGATTAAAGACTTAAATGTAAAATTCCAAAATGTAGAAACGCTGGAAGACAACGGATGCAATACCATAACGAACATAGGACCTGGCAAAGATTTCATAACAGTTGGCAAAAGCAATCACAATAAAAGCAAAAATTGACAAATGTGATCTAATTAAAGAGCTCTGTACAGCAAAAGCAACTATCAACAGAGTAAATAGACAACCTACAGAATAGGAGAAAATATTTGCAAACTATGCACCTGACAAAGGTCTAATATTCAGCATCTGTAAGAAACTTAAACAAATTCACAAGAAAAAAATGAATGACCTCATTAAAAAGTAGGCACAAGACACGAACTTTTCAACAGAATACATACATGTGACTGATAAGCATATTGAAAAAATGCTCAACATCACTGATCATAGATAAATGCAAATCAAAACCACAATGAGATACCATCTCACACCAGTCAGAACAGCTGGATATTAAAAAGCCAAATAATAACAGGTGTTGGTGAGATTGTGCAGCAAAATTAATGCCGATGTATAGTTGGCAGGATTATAAATTAGTACAACCATTTGGAAAACACTGTGGCAATTCCTCAAAGATCTAAAAACAGAAATACCATTAAACCCAGCAATCTCATTACTGGGTATATACCCAAACAAATATGTCATTCTACCATAAAGACACATACATGCTATGTTCATTGTAGCACCATTCCCAATAGCAAATACATGGAATCAACTTAAATGCCCATAAATGGTAGACCAGATAAAGAAAATTTGGTACATTATACACCATGGAATGCTATGCAGCCATAAAAATGAATCAGATTATATTATTTGCAGAAACATGAATGGAACATTATCTATATTATTATTATAAAGTCATTAGCCTTAGCAAACTAACACAGGAACAGAAAACCATATACACATATTCTCACTTACAAGTAGGAGCTAAATGATGAGGACACATAGACATACAGAGGGGAACAAGCACTGGGGCCTACTGGAGGGTGAAGGATAGGAGGAGGGAGAGGATAAGGAAAAATAATTAATGGGTACTGGGCTTAATATCTGGGTGACAAAACAATCTGTACAACAAATCCTCTGACATGAATTTACCTATATAACAAACCTGCACCTGTACCCTTAAACATAAAAGTTTTTTGAAAATCTTAAATAAAATAAGAAAGCTAGAAAACTCATACTTTCTGATTTGAAAACTTGCTACAAAGCAACAATAATTAAAACAGTGTATTACTGGCATCAGGGAAGGCATATATAGTCCAACAGAATGAATTTAGAGCCCAGAAATAAGTCCTCATATATATGATCAAATTATTTTTCAATTTGTAAAAGATGGTCTTTCCAGCAAATGATAATGGGAAAACTGGATATCCACCTATAAAAGAAAGAAGTTGAACCTTTACCTAATCTTATATACAAAAATTAATTCAAAATACAAGACTAAAATGTAAGACTTCAATATATAAAACTCTTAGAAGTAAGCGTAACACAAATGCTTTATGATATTAGATTTGGAAGTGATTTCTTGGATATGACAGCATTAGCAGCAAAAGAAAAAATAGACAAATTGCACCTTATGAAATTAAGAAATTTCAGAACACAATGCAGATGTGAAACTCATTGAACATAAGATGGAAGGAAGCCAGAAAAGAAGGTAAAGCCTGAGACCGCTATCCAGACCTGACAAATTCTTGGCCACCATGATGAAGATCTCTGAAATAAGCATTGCCCAGTAGAGTCCTGCATTGGACAAAAATGACCAGCCTTGGTAATCCTGCTAAGTTTAGTCATTGCCTGGGGCCTTCTCAGGTAATGTGTGGTTTCTGCTTAAATGTTGGGACAGAACGTAAAGATGCTGTAATTAGGGGCTGTTAGCTACCTGCCATATTCACAGCTGAATAACAAGCTCCTTTTCAAAGGGAAATCCAAGCAGTGCAAGTAAAGGATAATCATGGCAGAACTAGATGATGAAAGCTTGAAGTAATAATCACATATTTTCATAGAGATATGGAGATACATGAAAAAATAATATGATTTTACTTTAATTTGACTTTAGCTTTTGATAATATTTAACAACTTTACAGATGCTTATAAATAAGAATAAAATAATGCCTATATAAAAGATATAGTACATTAGTATAAAATTATGTGATAGTGAAATGAAAATACTAGTTCAATTCAATAAAAAATGTTAAAATGATGAATGTGAAATTAATTTACATATGGTGATGGCTATTTTTTGGGATTTGCCATGTAGATTTAAATAAGTAATGTAATCATTTTTTGAAAAAATCCCAAATATGCTGAAAATCCTATTATTTGCAAATATTTAATTTTATACTAAAAAATTGATAAAAAGTGTGTAAAGTTTCCTTTTATTCCTTAAGATCCATTTGTGGGTTGCAGGACCAAAAATGTTTGATGACTTCTGTTAAGTAGTTTGGTAGTTGAATTGGGGAAAATACTGATAATGAATCAAAATACAGTGTCTCTGGACAAATTAGCCTATTTTGTTCCTTAAATCCTTGATATCTTGTGACTGTCAACAAATATGTGTATTTGGTTAAAGTTCACACTTTTACTGAAATAAATAGAAAGATGCCTCAAATGCAATTCTTTCAACATTACCTGTATGGCCACAGATTCCATGCATTATATTAAGACATTATATCCATTTTATTCATTAGGGTAAGGTTGTATCCCGCAAGTGTTAGGAACAAGAAAACAATTATAAAGTTCTTAGACTTTTCATTTTTGAAGTGCTCAGGATATATATAATATAAATATACATATATACATATATACCTTATATTTAATATATATTATATTTAATATATATTTAAATATATATATTTAATATATATTATATTTAATATATATAAATTTATATATGTATATATAAATATACATATATAAAATATATATTTTCAGCAGAAGACTGCATGTATTTTTTTTCTAATATGAGAAATATCTAGGTCTAACTAGCAGAATAAATTTTGGAGATTAAAATTTTGCCTATTCAAATATGCACTACTGTAAAAATCAATATATGTGTTTATGTAGAGAGATAAATCACTTTCTTGTCTTCAAATGCTTGTAATTTTACTTATATCATTTGATTGAATAGAATATATTAAATTAGTGCCAGATTCATCTGAAAAAAACCTCAGTGCCAATAGAATACACACACAAATTGCAAGGGATCAATAAGGATTTTTCTGAATGAATGACTAAATAGATGGATGAAGTTACTGCCACTGGAGGCTACTGGAGATAGTTCTAAATATTCCAAATTTCTATTTTTAATACCCTGTTCATCACATTGTAAAAGGGAGTAAATATAATAGATTTTATCCTGAATTAATAATGAAATGGTATTGAACTTAAAAATGTGTAAAATACAAATATTGAATATAGTAAATAGCTTAAATGTGTTTGTGGCTAGCTTGGACTGCTCATGTGATAAACAACAAAATATATATGTGTGTGTGTGTCATATATATATATATGGCGTCACTATCTTTTAGTCACATTATAAGGTAAAAATGAAAATCATGACTTTATCCTGAGCTCCAAAACATAGAATCAATTAATGTATGCTTAAGGTTTTCCTCATTGAACTAAAGAAGCCAGACAGGAAAGAATACATACTATATGACCATATAGGTGGTATTTACTGTATATACAGTAAGACTAATCTGTGTGATTAAGCGTCAGATAGTGGTTACCCTTTTGTGTTTCAGCTGTGATTGGAGAGGGCATTCAGGATTCAGCCATTGTCTGCATCTTGATTTGGGTACTGGTTACATGAGTGGGTTGAACTGATGAAAACTCATTGAACTCACAATTTATACACCTTATACTTATTGAGGTATTTTGTATTTCAGTAAGAGTTAAAAACTGAATTCTTTAATTGAAAAATTCCTCATTGGATTTTAGAATAAAAACGTAAAATATTCTGGATTGAAAATTCAGCATTCATGATTTATCTGTTAAATTGTCATGAGCATCTAAATTTAATAATACTTTTTTTGGAAAACAGAAATAAGTACTCTAAATGAATGCTATCAAATACACCAAACTGGTGAGGTTCACTTAACAGCAAGTAAAGCTGTGAATGATAATAATGATAAAGAAGAGGAAGTATAATTGGATGTCTGGGGCTTATAAAATATGACAAACCATAAGAAACCTGGTGGCACATAAAAAAAGAAAGAGGTCAAATGAGACTACCGGATGAAAATAATGTTTACTGTCAAATGAGACTACAGGATGAAAATAATGTTTACTTCCTGCTCCACCAATTGGTACATAGCTTATTTCTCAAACTTATTTAATACATCAAGTTTAGAAGATAAAATTTCAGTTCTGCTTGTATTTTGAGTGATAGAAACATTGGGCTCTTTAATGTTAAAGTGGTATAATATGAAATTGAATGAGGATTGAGTTATATAGTGAAAAATTGAATTAAACAAATTAGCTAAAATAAGAAATTCAAACATTTGAAATAATCTTATTGATAAGATGAATATGCTTGCTATTTGAAATTAACAATGTATTTGAATGAATTGATAGTTCTCCTTGGAATTGCTGTCTAAGATTTTAATACAATAGGTTGTGATTTTATTTTCAAGGAACACAAAGCTTAGATTTTATATCTGATATATTTATGTATCATTTTATTTTTAGGAAATGACATAAAATGTATTACAGTCATTTAAGGTAATTTAGTGCAGTCTTATCTCTGCGTTAAAAATAAGCATATTTTGTTTTATTTCTAAGTAGTATCAACTACAGAGGTACCATTTTATCACACAACATTTTGAGGTCTTTGATAGCATAATATTGTGTTATTATTTTTGTATTCCTGATCATTAGCCAGGGATTGAGCATATTATAAAACTCAAAATCATTTGAGGAATAGACAAGTGAATGTACAGAAATAACTTGGAAAATTAATAGATTTTTTTCTCACTTATTTATTATAGTTGATAGGAAGAACACAGGATTTGGCCAAACAGCAATATACTTCAAACATGAATTGCTTTGATCTATTTTCTGGGATGTTGGATACTTAAAAAAATTATATACAAGTGAGTACATGTGATTAAATTTTCATCTTTTTATTCTTTATGTGTTGAAACCTAATACTTGAAATTTGAATGATTGCCCTTGTAACAGGCTTGAGGATTCAAGTCAGAAGGAACGAATGATCTCCTTCCCATCTGGAAATTTTGTGGATAGAGCAGTTTTCAGATTATCTTACACCTATATTAGATTGTCACTGTAGAAGATTAAAAAGGTATGGGCCACTCACGGTGGCTCACGCCTGTAATCCTAGCACTTTGGGAGGCAGAGGCGGACGGATCACGAGGTCAGGAGATCGAGACCATTCTTGCTGACACGGTGAAACCCATCTCTACTAAAAATACAAAAAATTAGCCGGGTGTGGCGGTGGGCGCCTGTAGTCCCAGCTACTTGGGAGGCTGAGGCAGGAGAATGGCGTGAACCTGGGAGGCGGAGCTTGCCGTGAGCTGAGATGGCGCCACTGCACTCCAGCCTGGGCGACAGAGTGAGACTCCGTCTCAAAAAAAAAAAAAAAAAAAAAAGAGGAATGAAGGTGTACTGAGGGAGAAGTAAGTCCTAAGTTATTACATCCATAGTTTTACTTTGCTCTTGTTGAGCAGATGCTGAAGAAGCAGTGATAAGTGGTGAATGTTAACAGGGCTAGGGAGGGAACAAAGCTGGAAGAGAATGCTTGTAGATTATTTTTTTCTGGGACCATGAAAATAGCAGTAAATGTTAGCATACACTGGAAGGATATGGGAGTGGTCAAACCAACAGACGATAGCACTCCACAGGGAAAAACACCCAAAGACTAATTTGAATGAAGTATCTTCCTGGTGGAATTAGCAAAACAAATAGTGTTATATTACTTTCCTTCTTTTTATACATTCCCCTGGGAAGAAAGAATGGGATGAAATCGCCTTGTAAAGGAGATTAACTTTGAATAGACTGAGTGTTCGAAGTAATTGCTAAATCACATAAAAGAGACTATGTTTGAAATAGGAAGACAGTGTCTTAACTTGAACAAAATGGTTAAACCTCCCCTCACCTCTCTTTACCAGATAAGAATAGAAATGAGTTTTTATGAACTAGTAGAGATTATTGAAGACTAACAGAAAAAAATCACTTGTCTATAATTCTGAATAACAGAATAAATGTTTTAAAATCTGTAATATGAGAGTGAACACTAATTGAGATCATATTCTGGGTCATGCATTACTTAACAAATTTATATACATTAATCATTTAATCCTTAACAATTCTAGAAAAGATAAATTATTATTGTCACCATTTTATCAATAAACTCAAAAAGGCAAAGTAAATGTACAACAGTTACACTGGTATGAAACTGAAGATTTAAACCAGATATACTAAATTATGAACTGTGCTATTTAAATTTTATGGTAAAAGTAGATAATTTTCTGTATTTATTTGCAAATAAAACATATGTAGATTCCTAAATATCCTGTTAGGTATGTTTTCGTAATGTTTACACAAGTTTTAATTCAGCAGCATTTTCTTCCACAATTATTCTAATAAATTAACATACACTAAGGACAATGTAAAAATTTCAAGTTGCCAAATGAAATACAGGATGCCAAGTTACATTTGAATTTCGGATAGATAATAAATATTTTTTAGCATTAGTATGTTCCCAATATTGTATATGTCATCCTGATACTAAAAGTTACATCTTACATTTATTTGCTAAATGATTTTTTTTAATTTTCTAAATCTGGCAATGCTAATTCAATTGAATCTCAAGTAATACATAGATCTAACCATTTTACTTATATAAAAGATAATAACACTATAGACTCACAAATAATAAACAACCAACTGGTATTGCTGCAAGAAGATCATAAATGGGAACTGTCTAGGTGCTAATAACTTGCTGGGTGACATGGTTTGCCTGTGTGTTTCCACCCAAATCTCATCTTGAAATGTAATTCCCCAAATCCCCGAGGTCAAGGGAGGGAGGTGATTGGATCATGGGGGTGGTTTCCCCCATGCTTTTCTTGTGATAGTGAGTGAATGCTCAAAGGAACTGATGGTTTTATACGGTAGCTTTCCCTGCTCTTGCATGCTGTCTCTTGCCTGCTGCCATGTAAGACATGCCTCTTCCCCTTCTGCCATGATTGTAAGTTTCCTGATGCCTCCTTAGTCATATGGAACTGTGAGTCAGTTAAAGCTCTTTTCTTTATAAATTGCCCACTCTTGGGTATGTCTTCATAACAGTGTGAAAATGGACTAATACACTGTGGTAGGACCTGGTCTGGCACTCATAGTTAAGTAATGTTGTTTATCTGTTAAACATAAACAGTTTCTTACATCACTGACATCAGATAAGGTCATTGTTTTTCTGACCAGAGACAAAAACAAGGCCACTGGGTACACCAAAAATATCATCGAAGGTTAGTTCCCTTGCCAGCTAACCTGAGCAACTGCTGCTTCTTTACCCATTGTATTTAGCCTTATTCCATTTCTTCTGGCTCTTATGTAATATTCATGAAGCTACTAAACCATTAAATTAACCCCACTACCTAACAGCACCCAGTCTGGAAAAAGATTTCTGAAAACAGTCATTTCAGAGCAAAACCTCTCTTATTTGAATCCATCTAAAAATCAGCTTTTACTGAGATACCCTAGAATTCACAATGATATGTCTTTTCATTGAGTATGATGAGCCAATAAACCAAACTTTACTCAGGATGAAGTTGGCCTCATGGTCTTGGATAAATGAGTATCAACATTTGGTATGGTCTGTCTTTTTTTCATTTTGGATCTACAGGGTGAATATGCAGTAAAATTCAGATGATTTGAATTTGCATTTTCCCTGTGACTCCATACACTATTGTAAGTACACTAGTACATGCACTAAATACACAATGACTAAACACATTACAGTCACTGTGATTAAATATTCTACGACTAGTGCATTTTCCTATGGCCATACATTTCTTGGCTATTTTCATTTGTTTACTTCCCTTTTCACTGTTTTGCCCATTTTTCTATTGGAATAATTGTGTTTTTTCTTAGTTATTTGCATGTTTTTAATATATTTTATATTGAGTCCTTTCTCACATGTGTGTACTGCAAATATTGTCTTCTAAGTTGTAACTCTGTTTTTATTCTCTCCTATCTAAATAAGATAGGAGAGAATAAAATTTCATGTTTTTGCTACAGATGTAACAAAATATGATTTGCAAGATATTCAACCATCTGACAGATGGTAGAATCAAGCTTTAACCTTTTATGTAGCTCTAGATCCATCTTGTATTTATTTGTTTATAACATTGAGAAAGAGTCCATATTTTTTCCATGTGAATATCAAGTTAGCTAAGCAGATTTTACTAAAAGTACTTACTTTCCCTCACTAAAGGATATCATGAACAAATAACTATGTATTTGTGGACATAATTTCTATACTTTATATTCTGTTCCATTGGCCTATTTTTCCATCAATGTGCTAATAGCACAATATATTACTTTAATATAGCTTTATAATATAGCCTAGTGACTTTTAATATAAGTCCATCATAATTGTTTTCTTACAGACTGCCTTTTCTACTCTCGGTCTTTCGTATTCCTACATACCTTTCAGAAACAACATATACATTTCAAAAAATGCCTGATGGAATTTTGATTTGGATTGCATTAATTTGTGGATAAATCTGATGACTTAAAATATTGAATCTTCCAAAAAAAGACATGGCATATCTCATCATTTATTTAGATTTAGTTTTAGTTTTCTCTATAATGTTTTGCACATTTAGGGTAGAGGCCTTAACACTTCTATCCTCTTAATTGATTTCAATGTGTTCATTGATTGCTATTGTAAATTGCACATTTAATTAAAGGTTACTTTTTGTTTCCATATTGTTGGTTAAAGAAATATATTGTGCTGTTCTTTGTTTATCTTGTATAAAATAATTTTTATAAGTTCACACTTTAATAGTGTATTTGTTGATTATTTTGTATTTAATTTATATACAATTTTGTCATCTGCAAGTAAGGATTTTTAGTTTGCTTATCCTTATTCTTATAATTTTTATATTTCTTTGTAATTTTATTTTGCTTTGGCTAGGAACTTTATTAAAATATTATATGGAAGTGATATGCCCAGATGAATGGATAGAGAAAATGTGATATGTATACTCAATGAAATATTGTTCAGCCTTAAAAAGGAAGGGAATTTTGTCATTTGCAACAACATGGATGAAATTGAAGAACATTATGCTGAGTAAAATGGGCTAGGCACAGAGGAGCAAATCCCACCTATTCTCACTTATTTGTGGCATCTAAAACAATCTTAACTCAAAGAAACTGAGACTAGAATGATGGCCAGTAGATGCTGGAGAGTAGGAGGAATGAGGAAATAATGGTACAAAATCTTAATTAGGCAGGAACTTTATTTTTCCCTTGTGATATATTGCACAGCATGGTGAATATACTAAATAATAATGTATATTTCAAAATCATTAAGAGTGAATTTCAAATATTTTAACTACAAAAAGTAATTACTATTTGAGATAATGGATATGTTCATTGGATTGATGTGATTATTTGGCACTGTGCTCATAAATCATAACATCACTTGTACCCCATAAATATATATAACTTTAATTTATTGATTTACCATTAAAACTAAAAATTAAAGAGAATTATAAAAGGAAATTTTATGCATAGGAATTTTTTGTCATTCCCAGTATGAGGAAAAAAGCTTTTTATATTTCACCTTTGAGCATTGTATATGCTATATTTTTTAAAAATTTTATTTTTCAGATTAAGAGAGTTCCATTCTATTTCCACTTTACTGAAAAGAAGTGGGCTTTTTGTTGTTGCTGTCTGGTTGATTTTTAGAAACAAGGTCTTGCTCTGCCACCCAGGCTGGAGTGCAGTGGTGCAATCATAGCTCACTGCAGTCCCAAACTCCTGGGCTCAAGTGATCTCCCTTTCTCAGTCTCCAAAGTTGCTGGGACTACACATGTATGTCACCACCCCTGGCTAGTTACTCAAAAGGGTTTTTACATTAATGGTTACTCAGTTTTACCAAAGCCACATCAAATAAAATGATCATATTATTATTTTTTAATTCTGTTAGTTTGTGAATTATACTGATTTAAATATTAAAGCATGTTACATTACTTGAATAATTACACTTTGGTTATTAAATTCTATCTTAATTCATATATTTTCTGATTTGTGTGTTTACTGATTGTTTTAAGATTTTAGTTCTTGATGTATGAGACAATTTGCCATCAGCTTGTGCTATTCTTAATTAACTATTTACCTGTCTTAACCGGTCATTTGAATATCTAACTTGGGTATAGGTCTGATGGATGAGAAATAGTGCAACAGGCTCTAAGTTTACAGTAGAAGAATGATGAATATCAATTTCAAGCTTAGAATCACCTTCAGCACCTAGGTGCAGATGGTTTGCTAATTAATCTGTATCACCTTGGTGCTGCTGGGTCCGTGGTCCTGATGGTAAAGGAGCTTGCTCTGCAGCTTGCTCCTACTGCAGATAACTCTTCTTCCAGGCTGCATTCAGAACCAGCCAGGTTTCTAGTCACTTGTTAAATAGGATGATAGTCTTATGTGTAGTATATACTACCTTGTAAACACAAAGAGGTGCATAAACTATTTATTGGTAGAATAAGTCAGTTTCTTGGGAGTAGAATGAGTTTTACCTAAAATGGGATGTCCTAGATTATCCAAAATTACTGCATCCATAAAAACATCACCAATTGTCAATCCTCTTGAACTTCTTAGAGATCATTTTGACATTCTGAAAAGCATGCTACTTACTAGAAAATTTAGGGTTCCTACCACTTCCTACTCCAGAGACCTAAAATAGTATAATGTCACCAATGCAGAAGACAAGCATGAATGTCAGCAGAATATCAGTGTGATCAAGGACTCTACAGAATATATTATGTCTAAGACAGAAGAGTAAATGCAGTCCCGTAGCAAAAGACTGAGGATGCCCTACTGAAATATGACTTCTACTGATGAGATGCTTTTGATCCTCCTTGCTAAGGAGCAATAAGAAAAACAAACACTCACCAAATGTGAGCTGCATACAAAATGTAAGAAACTATATTGATCTGTTTCAATAAAAATATAACATTTGACATACCAAGATTTTGGTCTATCCAATGATTAAGAATGGAGCATTTTTCTACTTTCCACAGAGGTTCAGAAAGTAAATTAAAAAGAGCAATGATGGAGACAAGACCTTCTGCATCTTTAACGTTTCTGATGTTAGTGATTTCTTTGTAAATCTTTCTAGAATGAGGTTTTGCTTTTGGTAATACTAGCAAGGATTGGTAGTTTCAGGGTCTTTCTTTTACAACTTTTTAGCACAAAGGTCCAATGCAGAAACCAGTATGTGAACATACTTCCACATGCTAAGTATATCCATCCCAAATAGATACCCACAGACTGGAAAATATAAGAGTGCCCATGGACACATTTGATACCCTATGGGATCAACTTAAGTCAAAACCATTATTATTTAGTATTATGTTTGTCAATCCAGAATATTATTTTAGCACTTTAGGAAACTTGGTTCCAGTGTCAACTCAGTCATTATCCTAAATGTAATCAATAAAGTACACAGTTGCCCTGGCAAATGACAAAAGCTTCTATTGGAAAAGGATCAGAGGTGTATACAGTGGCATTGATAAATCTTTACTAAAGAAGATTTGTCCCTACTTCAATCACTTAAATATATCTTAAGTTGACAAGCCTTATTCAGTAATGTTGTTTATCACCTTGATGTCTCAGATGAGCTTTCTGCTCATGAGTTTTTCTCTTTTTCCATCTCACTTCTTAGAGTACCAAGAAATTTTTTTAATACCCTCATGACAAATATGCAGATTGCCATGCCTGCCTTGATGACCATTATGGAAATAATACTCAATTTTCTTTGACAGTTATGTACTGCCATCTGGCCTTTGACATTCCAGAATTTCATCACTTTCATTGATATGACGGATACCAGTTCCATGCAGTATTTCTTAGTGTTATTTGAAACTTACAGTAGACAACAAGCATATGTCTTCTCAAAGATGGTGCATTATACCAACTTTCCTTTACAGTGCATTCCATATTGCCTTTATGAAGATACTATCTTCTTGGCTCTCCCAGGAAGCATAGATTAAAAATGACCACCTGTTATATGATAAATTATGCCCGCCCCCACTCAAAACTCATGTGTTGAAGTCTTAACTTTTAATGCCTCAGAATGTGATGATATTTTCAATTACAGCCTATCTTTAAATAATATTATGCCTTGGGGTGTTTAAAGAGGCAGTCAAGTTTTAAATGAAATGATTAGGGTTGGTCATAATTTAATATTATGATTGATGTCTCTATAAAAAGAGGAAATGTGAAGTTAGACACAGAGGGTAGACCATATAAATACAAGGAAAAGATAGTTATCTATATAGGCCAAGGAGAGTGCTCAGAAGAAATCAACTCTTCCAAAACCTTCATGTTAGACTTATAGCCTCCAAAAGAGTGACAAAATAAATTTCTTTTGTTCAAACGACTTAGTCTGTGTTCCTTTGTTATGGCAGCCTTAGGAAATGAATATAACGCCCGTGTTTTACTTAGAGATCTATTCTAAGGGACTCATGTAACGTTGCACATGTGACCACAAATATCTCTTCATTTAATTTCACAATTACATACCCAATTGCAAACTTAGTATGCTTTTGGAGTTTTAATAACTTCTGAAATTTAACAGATGAGTAACTGAATCCTTATAATTCATGAAACTGACATCGTCATTGCCCGGTCTAAGTTGTTGACACACCAACCCTTCCAATTGCTCTGGCAAAACTCTCCTGTCAAACTTGACCACTTTGGTTGTAGTAAAATGAATAACAGGAAGTAAAATAGAAGATAAAGTTGTAGGTCACTGGAAAGAGTATAGCTTGACATAAGATAGGAAGACAGCAGAAAATTACAAGTACGTGAGTGATGTATTTGACTTTTAGTCAATACATTTTAAGTGGTAAATTCATAATTTCTTGCAATCACTATCTCTCATTTCAATTTTTGTATCACACCCCCAAAATTCCATATACATTGTGTTAATCTCCATTTTTCCTTCCCTCTATTTTCAGCAATTTTTTTTTTTTTTTTTTTTTTTTTTTTTTTGAGAGGGGTTCTCGCTCTGTCGTCCAGGCTGAAGTAGAGTGGCGCCAGCTCGGCTCACTGCAACCTCCACCTCCCAGGTCCAAGTGATTCTCCTGACTCGGCCTCCCGAGTTGCTGGGATTACAGGGGTATGTTCAGCTAATTTACGCATTTTTAGTAGAGATAGGGTTTCATCATGTTGGCCAGGCTGATCTCGAACTCCTGACCTCAGGTGATCCACTCGCCTTGGCCTCCCAAGTACTGGGATTACAGGCATGAGCCATGCTGCCTGGCCAGCAAAAATTAATCTTCTTTCTGTCTCTATGTATTTGCCTATTCTTGATATTTCAAGTAAAAGAAAACATATGATATTTGACCTTTTGTTTTAGGCTTCTTTTGCTTAGCATATTTTTTAAAGTTTATGCTGTTTTAGGATGTTTAACTGCTTCATTCATTTTCCTGACTGAATAATATACCGTTGTATGTATACACCAAAATGTCTTTATCCATTTACCCATTGATGGGCATTTTTTCTCACTTTTTAGTTATTTTGACTATTGCTGCTAACATCATTTGTGAACAGGTATATGATTTCAATTTTTTTTTTTTTTTTTTGCAGAATCTGAGGAAACTTTATTGATCTCTTTATCCTTCCAGCATTATGAGAGCAGGCAATACAATGTTTTAACCCAACCAAGCTCAAAGGAGTAAACCTTTTTCCCAAACCATAAATGGGCTGTATGTTTCCTCCACATTATAGTACCCTCTCCTAAATCAACCTTTATTCACCTCCATGACAATAATATCCCACAACTCAGTGCTGGAGTTATATGATAATTTTACATTTAACTTTTTGAGGAAACACCAAAGTGTGTTCCAGTGGCCACACTGTTTGACGTGTCCACTGGCAATGTACAAGAGTTCCTATTTCTCCACATTGTCACCAACACTTGTAATTTCTTTTTAATTTCATTATTGTGTCCATCCTAGTGGGTATAAATTAAAACTTCATTGTAGTTTGATTTGTATTTCCTTCTTTATTTGTATTTGCTTCTTTATCTATTCTGAATATTAAAGAATAATCAGATATATTATTTGTAAATATTTTTCCCATTCCAAAGCTTTTTTCACTTTCTTGATATAGTCCTGTGATGGCAAAACTATTTGATCTTGATGAAGTTCAATTTTTTAATTTTTTTTTTTTTTACTTTTTGTTGCTCACTTTTTTTTTTTTTTTTTGGTCAAATCTTTTATTTATTTATTTTTGAGACGGAGTCTTGCTCTGTCGCCCAGGCTGAAGTGCCGTGGCGTGATCTTGGCTTACTGCAACAACCGCCTCCCAGGTTCAAGCAATTCTCCTCCCTCAGCCTCCTGAGTAGCTGGAATTACAGGCATGTGCCACCCTGCCCGGCTGATTTTTGTATTTTTAGTAGAGACAGGGTTTCACCATGTTGGCCAGGCTCCTCTCAAACTCCTGATCTCGTGATCCACCTGCCTCTGCCTCCCAAAGTGCTGGGATTACAGGCATGAGCCTCCACGCTCAGCCTTTTCTTGTCAATTCCAAGACCAACTTTAAGTTCATGAAGATTTGTCCCTATTTTTCTTTTAATAGTTTTATAGTTTTAGGTATCATATTTAGGTTGTTGATCTCTTTTGAATTAGTTTTATTTGTGGAGTGAGTTAGTGATCCAACTTTCTTCTTTTTCATGTGGCTATCCAGTTGTAACAGAAGCAAAATATTGCTCAGTTCTAACAATTACTCTTACTGAAATTTTGCTTAGTTATTTTATTAATTCCTGAGATATTAAAGTTGATACTTGCAACTATAATTTTGGATTTTTCTGCAATCTTTTTATATTTTTGTAGTTTTAGCTACTATTAATGATACATGTTTAAAGTTACTATGCCTTCTTGGTTAATTGAACTTTTTTGTTTTATAAGGTATTTTCTTTTGTCCTTGGTAAGAGTCTTCGTTCTGATTTCTATTTTGTTTCATATTATAGAATTACCTTAGATTTCTTTTAATTAATGTTGGCAGGGTATATCTTCTGTCATACTTTAATATTTATTAATGTGTGTCTTTTTATATTTCAAGCTATTTTCTGGTAGAAAGCATATATCTAGGTATTGCTTTGTTTCTAATTTGGTAATTTTTAAAAGATTATAATATTTAGGCCAATTAAATATAATTATTGATAAGGTTAGATTTCAGTATACTATCTTGCTTGCTGCTTTCTGTTTGTTTTACATGTTCATGAAGTGTAAAGTTCAAAACTTAGATGGCATTTTTTACAAGCTGTATGTTCCCAATTCCTGGGAACATATTTAATTTTATAAGCCTGTTATCATTTGAGATATAGTAATAACAATAAATTTTTATTATATAATTTTTGTGAAAAATTTAATACAAATTAAATTTCACACATTATGTGTAAAATACAGCATGTTGTCTTGGTAAATATATATATAGACAATAGTTATTATATAATTACTGTATACTTCTGCTATAGTTTTCACAGAGCTTATCTATTACTTAAATGATTTCCTTAAATATGTTTTATATCTGAAGTTTTTGGGGTCTAGCAAGTTTTGGTTTTGCTAACTCATGTGTGATGGCTGGTATATTAGACTTTTTTCTACTTCAGATAGCGTATTATTAGGTAAAAAAACTTTGCTACAGTTTCCTAAAAATAGTCTTCTGTTTGCTTGTTCACACTGAAGAAAGAAATATAATCCCAGTCTGATTATGTTTTCATTGGTATTTACCTGCACTTGAAATATAAAATATTATTTGCCTTGTGGGTTTTTTATTGGTGTTCAGAAAAATAATTTATATACACTTAGGTATGCATTTTTAATTATATTTTATTTAATGTTTCTGTTTTAACTGTTACTTTTCCATATGTTTCATCAGTGACTCCTTTATTTTAGTATTAATTCTCTGGATTCACATACTTCCTTGCATTTTTGTCATGCTAAGAGTTACTTGTTTAATTTGATCTTTTATAGTATTAAGAATTTATTTTTGCAGTATGGAGATTTCTTAAAGAGCTAAAGGTAGATCTACCATTCAATCCACCATGCAATCCAGCACTCCCACTACTGGGTATGCCCAAAGGAAAGGAAGACTTCATATCAAAATGACACTTGCACACATATGTATATTGCAGCAAAATTCATAATTGCAAAGATTTGGAACCCACCTAAGTGTCCATTAACCAATGACTGGATTAAAAAATGTGATATATATATATATGTGTGTGTGTGTATATATATACACATATATATATGTGTATATATATACTATATATGTGTATATATATACACACACATATATACACATATACGTATATATATATGATGAAACACTACTCAGTCATAAAAATAGAATAAAACAACGTCTTTTGCAGCAATTTGGACTGAGCTGGAGGCCATTATTCTAAGTGAAGTAATTCAGTAATGGAAAACCATATATCGTATGTTCTCACTTATAAGTGGAAGCTAAGCTCTGAGTACACAAAGGCATACAGAGTGATATAATGGACTATGGAGACTCAGAAGCGGGAGAATGGGGGAGATGAGGGACAAAAAACTACATATTGAGTACAATGTACACTACTCGGTGACGGGTGCACTAAAATAGCAGACTTCACCATTATACAATTCATTCATGTAACGAAAAACTATTTGTACCCAAATAAATAAAAAATAAAAAAGATAAATGCTTAGTTGAATATAAAATTTTTTAAATATTTTAATTCTCACCTTTATAATAGCTTAACTAGATCTTCTTTTAAGTTGCTATGTATCAAAATATAATAAAATTCACTATTTCTGTTCTCATTGACATATACATTGAGAACCTTGATCAGCAAGTAAGCATTCAATTTTCTATAAGTTACAATACATATTTTTATCTGAGATATAAATCCTATTATTTTTATGAAATCACCATGGCATCATGGTGATAGGTAGATAGATACATACATATACACATATACATACATATATACACACTCACACATATATAAAATCACCACTTATATGTTCAAATGCCTAAAATTTTGGATAACTACTGAGTATTCTGTTGACTGAAAATCCTAAAATGTATTCTTAATTTTCTATTTTTTTCCAATTTTACTCTTGACTATTTGATGATAGGAATCATTGTTTCTATGTATCTTACACATCTTTGATTCACTTGCATTTTATCAGTACCAGAAACATGAGAAATATTAAATGTATATATAGGTACATACCTATGTGTTATCTATATATCTACAGCTACTTCTTAACACACTATGGTGTTGCATCTCTATCAACCCATCATAAGTTGAAAATATTTTAAGTAAAAAATGCAATTAATAAACCTAACCCATTGAACATCATAACTTAGCTTAGCCTACCTTAATCACACTCAGAAAGCTTACATTAGCCTACAGTTAGGCAAAATCTTCTAACATAATGCCTACTTTATAATAAAGTATTAAATATCTCATGTAATTTATTGAAGTCTGTACATTAGGTTGAAATCCCAAAAGTTTTATTCCACTATAGAGTTGAGAAATTCTAAGTTAAACCATCGTAAGTCAAGGACTCTGTGTGTGTGTTTGTGTGTGTGTGTGTGTGTGTATGTGTGTGTCTGTGTGTGTGTATGATATATTTACATATATGTCTATACAAATAAATAATCTATCATCTATGTATGTATCTATCTATCATAAAGAAGAGATAAAGTAGAGAGTAATAAATATTTTATTACTTTGTTGATGTAAAAGGACCAAAGCATAATATTGGTTGTTTGAAACACATTCTATCAATTTACTTCCTGAGGTTTTAACAAATGTTGATTGCGAGATAAAATAAGAATATAAATGACATATTTTCAAATGACTTGATTAGATTTTGAGATACATTTTTTTCCAGTAATCCAGTAGCTAAAGGAATAGGGAATGGTGCTATGTGAAACAGCATGATATTATCCAGAACACAGCTGCATGTTCTAATATTTTATTTATGTTATCATTACACATATATAATGTTAAATGTTGCATTATGTCAATGAAATGTTTTCAAAAAATACTTTTGAAAAGGAAGTGTTCTTCATAGAATCACTGTTTCTCTTTTAGTTTATTTTATTCCGTGGCATTTATCATCATATTTTGTAATTTAATTAAATGATGCCAAATTAGATGGCAGACAGGTAAAAAATGAAATTTAGCAGCTGGTAGTGCATGACAGTTTTTCTATTAAAACTAATATGTTTTATGAGTGATGGGACGATTAAATGGCTATGTTAAAATTTATATGAATAATCAATTCATTGGGTGCAGGTCATGCAGTATATATTTTAATGATTTGAAGTGACAATGTTAATGGAGTAATTCTACTAACAAGCCCATCTTGATCTATTCATTCTATAAATAGTTGACTAGCCCTATTAATCAAGCTTCGTGCTAGATAAAGCCTTATGTATTGGAAATCACAGTTCTCAATAATTGAAAACCTAGATGAATACTGAATGATAGTGGGTTAAAGTTGAAGAAAATAAGAAAAGGGAAGGAGATGTGAGCATGGCTATAATGTGTATTTGGAAGATGAGAGTATTTGCTCAAAACATCTTTTACAATACTTAGCTAAGTCTTAAGCTAAATCACTCTTTAAACTAGGAGGGAATAAACACAAGTTTTATGTATGAATGCATTTATATTGTTGTGTTTTTTATTGTCACTGTTGTCACTTAACCAAAAACCTGTGCTTCAGTTTGGTTGTTATGTTTAACATTAACTTTTTATTTCCAACTATTCTCAGATCTGTTTAAATATTCTAACTGATTCATAAATTTTTCATGGTATATATATATATATATTTTTTTTTGCCAAATATACAAGGTTAGTAAACTCAGAATAATAATATTATCAATTGTAATTGTCATATACACTTTGATTCTCCATCTATAAAAAATACCTTCCTATCTGAGATCATGCATTTCCTTATTTTTTCTTTTATGCATTATGGATAATATATTTACTAGCTTCATTATACTCAATAAGCAATTACGTTTATTAAGCTTGTCTTTAAGCCTATCGCTCCTATTGTAGCAATAAACCAATTCTTTGCATATAATTTTTAAAATTTAATAATTTTTTGAAGAAAAATGAAAAAGAATAGAATTGTAAATTATAATAGAGTGAAATATGTAATAGGTGAACAATATTGCATTAGCTTCCCAGAAGTCACACAAAAGATACTGGCTACTCATGATTATCAAGAGGTTTTAAATGTAATTGAAAATTCAAATGTTTTATGGAATATTCAAAATAAAACCAAGAAAAATTACAGGAAATGGAATTTTATATGTGATTGCATGTGTGTGTGTGTGTTGTGTGTAATTTTAGCCTTGCTTTTAACTTAGTGGTAAGAGAAAAAGATTTTGCCATATTTGCACCATTTTTGCCAACACTTCTGATTTTTTTCCTTTTAACTATTATTAAATATTTAGGATTTTAAAAATTCCAGAATTATTTACACAGATAAAATATGTTAAGCAATGGATCATGATGCTATTGAAGTAGAACAGAAAATGACGTTTTTGAGTAATCAGGCTGTTCCACTTAATCAAAGCATGCTTAATTAGGGAGCCCTCTTAATTGGGACTTTCCCATCTTATCAAATCCAGCCTAATAACACTCAACTGTAAAGACAGGTGCTTAATTGGGATAATAATTCTAGATAATTGGGGGTGCCTGCGGGTGACCAAGAGTAGCTTACATCAATCTGATTTGAAGATATTATGCCTTTGTAGGTGTCTCCTACTGCGCTTATTTGCTTTCCAAGAATGACCTCTCCACTGTTAAATGAACAAATGTCCTTTTAGCACTGACTGCTGGAATTTTCTGTTTCTATCTCGGTTTTCAATCACACTATAATTCTTAAGTTTTCTTTTATTATAAAATAACTACATATTATTTTACATAGGATAAATTTATTATTAGCACTTTCAATTGAATTTTAAAGCAAATAATTAGCAAAAGCTAGGAAATCAAATACCACAGATTAAATATGCTCTAAGACACTAAATTATAAAGAATAATAATTAACACCTTTGTTCTCTGAAATACAATAATTCATCATGTGTAAATAGATTACTTAGCTTAATTTCTTTTTACTTCCATACCATTTAGAAAGTTCAGTTCCTGGCCGGGTGCAGTGGCTCACGCCTGTAATCCCAGTACTTTGGGAGGCCGAGGAGGGCGGATCACGAGGTCAGGAAATCGAGACCATCCTGGCTAACATGGTGAAACCCCGTCTCTACTAAAAATACAAAAACAAAATTAGCCGGGTGTGTTGGCCGGCGCCTGTAGTCCCAGCACTCGGGAGGCTGAGGCGGGAGAATGGCGTGAACCCGGGAGGCGGAGCTTGCTGTAAGCCGAGATCGTGCCACTGCACTCCAGCCTGGGCGACAGAGTGAGACTCCGTCTCAAAAAAAAAAAAAAAAAAAAAAGAGAAAGTCAGTCAGTTCCTACTATAGTATGTGTTATATTGGGCATATTCACAGATATCAGATTATTTGACTAGCATCAAAATGCTGGTCCCATTCCCCCCAAATAGCAGATACTCAAATTAGCTGACTGAATTTGGAAACGTAAACTTTTTTCTATTTAATTAGCTATTTTTAATTAAATTAGATTATTAAAACAATGCACATAATAAAATTTCATTTTATTCTGTTTCACTTATGAAGCCTGTAAACTCATTGGATGAGGTAGACTTTTCTATAAATATACTTCCAATTAGAACAAATTTCTTTCTTTAATTCTTTTTAATAAAATTTTTAGTAAGAGTGGTGTTAATATTGATGTTTCTCCCTTTAAGCCAAGACACATAATATTTTACAGCTGAATGTGGATGTCTTTAAGAGCCATAGAAAAGTTATATTAATTTATTGTAAATAAAAATTCTGTACAATTAAAATCCCTGAAAATTAAAAACAATCTTTATGAGGCTGTTTTTAAGTTAGTAATTTTAATAACTTTACAAAGGAACATTTTAGATATAGCCCATTTTTTTAAGTATGAACTGTAACTTGAACTTATATGCACTATATATTGTTAAAAATCATTTCAGTAAAACATTCTAGAAGAGAACAATTCACTAATAAACTTAACCTAATTTTAAATTTAAATATTATTCTAGTTTATTGTTTCTGGGGCTTTCTTTTTATTTTAAATTTCAAAAGTGAAGGTATGTTTCCAGTGAAAATAAAATTGGCAATGATTTCAAATTTGGGCAAGGTTATGGAATCACAGAAACCCTCATTGGTTGCTGATAGAAATCCAGAATACTACAGAGCACTTTCAAGAACAGTTTGGTATTTTCTTAGGAAGCTAAACATAAACTTACCAGAAGATCCACCAATCACACTTATATGTATATACTTCAATTAAGTTAAAAATTTACCTTTACACAAAAACCTGCATATCAATGTTGATAGCAACGGTATTTCTAATTGCAAAGAAAGAAAAAAAAAGAAGCAGTCAATATGTCCTGAAATAGTTGAATGGGCAAACTCTTTATATTCATACAATGAGATTTTATTTAGTGATTTAAAAAGAGCTATCAAACCGTGAAAAAACATTAAGTAACTCTAAATGCACAGACTTAAGCAAAAGAAGCCAATTTGCAAAAGATCATGCCATCTTATTCCAACTATATGACATTCTGGAAAAGGAAAATGATAGAGATGGTATAGATAAAGATCTTTGGTTGTCCAGATTTTGAAGAAAGGGAGGAATGAATAGGCAGAGCACAGGGTTTTTGTGGGTAGTAAACCATTCTACTTTACATTCTAATGGTGCATTAATGACATTCTGCATTTTCCAAAACCAGTAGAACTTACATAGCAAAAATAATGAACCTTATTGTAAACTATAGACTTTAGTTAATATATTAATACAGGTTCACAAACTAACAAATTTGCCACACAAACGCAGAATGTTAAAAATAGAGGAAATGGGGTTGAGGGTTACATGGGAGCTCTCTGCACTAAATGCTCAATTTTTCTGCAAACTAAGCTATTCTAAGAATAAAGTATTAATTAAATAAAAGTTAACAGACCTATTCAAATGAAGAAGAGAAAACAACAGATTCAGGAGAAGCTGAGGAGAAAAGTGAATGCTTATACACTGTTGATGAGAATTTAAATTAGTTCAGCCACTATGAAAAGTATTTGGGAGATTTCTCCAAGAATTTGAAACAGAACTACAATTTGACCCAGCAATCCCATTACAGAGTATGTATCCAAAAGAAAATAAAATAAAAAGAAACATGCCCTCAGATGTTTATGGCAGCACTATTCACAATAGCAAAGACACGGAATCAACTTAGTCTTGAACTCCTGAACTCAGGTGGTCCGCTCACCTCAGCCTCCCAAAGTGCTGGGATTACAGGCATGAGCCACCACTCCCAGCTGACTCAATATTCTTATAGAGAAAACAATAGCACTGTAAAAAGCACATTTAGAGGGAAAGGTGAAGATACAACTTAAACAATGATATCAATCATCAAAATCAGACGAGGTTCAGAAAATACCACCCAGAAATATGGGCAGGCAGTATTTATAGACAGAAAAAGGAAGTGATATACAGAAAGAGCTTGACTGGTGGCTGGTCATTTGCCCTATTTGGAAGTGGTGTGATAAGGCATGTGCCTTATATGGACATGATTTTCTTACTTGGCAATCTGTGATTGGCTAAACTCAGTGTCATGATTTGACACAACTCACCTATTTGCTATAAGAATATTCAAAGTTATGTTTCTGGTGACTTACCTACTAAGTTAGGTTGCAGTTCTCTACATAAAAACTTAAAGTATTGAGGCAGCCTTAAGCCAAATTTAGTTTAATTTAACAATCTCCCTTAATTTCAGCCTCTCAATTTTGAGAAATTGACAAAAATTTGGACATTGACCCTATCCTTTGACACCATCACAATGAACTGGCTTGGTTTCAGTATGGAATTTAAATTAATTACATCAACTGAATGATTATATTCTCTTTATGTTTTCACTATTCAAATGTAGTGAGACCATTTGATGTACAATGGATGGCTACATCAGCGAATTAGGACTATTTAGAGAATACAGCACACCAGGAAGAAAAATATGATGTCTGTCAGAAGTATAATATGAAAAGACTAAAGTATACTCTTTTACTCGAGCCACCACAAATCGGGACAATTAAAATAAAATATATTGAAAATGAGCCAGAAGAATTATATATTTGTTTTTATCAATTAGCTTCTTTGTTGATTTCTTGTAACTGAGTTTTTATCACAGTAGATACATGGCCTTATCCACGTGCAGCAGAAACTGTTAGTTATTGTATACACACTCCCCTGTTTACCAATAAAATGTCCAAGGCAAATCATGCTAACTAAAGCAATTTAAGCAAGACAATGTAAGGTTTTCTGAAAAATCATAGTCTTTGCAGTAGTCAGTTAAAGTAGACAATGTTTGAAGCAAAAGTCTAATAATCTATTTTACATTTATGTCAAACCAGAAAAGGCTACTAGAAGATGACCACTTAGATTCTACCAAAAAATGTCCATTCAGAGAGATGTATGCCTGCTGACAAATTAAATTCTTCTTTATTCCATTGTTCAGATAAAGAAGTATTCAATTTTCAATTTGTCTTGGAGTGAGACTGGTACATTTAAGATAAAAATCCCTCAAGGCATTTTCTTGGTATTCAGTTAATTCTGGTTCTATTGGGTTAGCAGTTTTATGCAACCAATCAGTTTTATTAGAGTTCTGGGTATTCTTACTCAGTCCAGTAGCATAATCTTAAATTTAACAAAAACTTTTAAGAGTTATTTTCATGAATGTCCTTGAATACAAAACACTTTAGGCTTAAATTGACTTAAGGTTGTCCTGGTTAAAGGTTTCATGAGAATTCATTATAATAATAATGTAATTGACAAGAAAATTTGGTTATTTCTCTGGAACACATTTTATGATAATAACTAGAATTCTGGTCAATAATATTATGGCGAACTATCACTTTACTGGGAATTTCACAAAATTGCTAGAAAACATTGTAATAACACAGTCATACAAAAATGACTGAAAGAAGGTTTAGTATCACTTATTATTTCACAGTGTTCTCATCTAATTTATTATATTAAATTAGCCCAAATAGTTTAATATCTCTTTTTTTATAAGGTGATATTTCTTTTTGAAATGTTCCAAGGGCCCATCTAGAAAACCCCAAAGTTAATTTTATGCATAAAAAATTATGGTTTAGAATTTCATTTTTGGAAGATTTTCAAAATTATCAATGGTTCATAAACATTGGATCAAAATAAGATAACAGGTCACTGTGAAAATAATAGTCATTTAATTAACCAATGGGATAAATTTAAAAATTCAAAGGCAAATACAGTAAGTTACATAATACAAAAATAGTTTTTTAATATAGAGAACTCCATTTTCTTAGGTAATCAAAATTTAATAAAGACAACATACAACAACAAAAAATTATTTTGACAAAACAAGATCATTTTTTCCTAGGCTAATTATTTAAAAAGATAAGAAAAAGTTTTTACAACCTTTTATTAACACCAAAACAATACTCCAAGAAAACCTTGCTGTTTTAACAGAAAGGACCAGTTTTACTTTTGCAATGGTGTACTTTTGATATTAATGCTTAATTGTTAGAAAAAGTTATAAATAATTCCTCTTTAATTTCAGTCATCTTCGTCACATATAAAATTCCTCTCACAGGATTCATCTTCTACAAAACTTCTACAACTTTCTTATATCCTTCTAGTTATTTGTCCTATGCTTTTCCCATTCTCATTTGAAACAGCCAGTCACTTTACGTTAGGACAAAGTAAGAGTCTTTTCCTCATTATTTTTAGTTTTATATGCCATATATTAATTATAATTTTATTTATTTATTTATTTTTAGATGGAGTATTACTCTGCCACCCAGGCTGGAGTGGAGTGGCATGATCTTGGCTCACGGCAACCTCTGTCTCCTGGGTTAAAGTGATTCTCGTGCCACAGCCTCCCAAGTAGCTGGAATTACAGGCACCTGCCACCAAGCCCAGCTAATTCTGGTATTTTTAGTAGAGACATGGTTTCGTCATGTTTGGCCAGTCTTGTCTTGAACTCCTGACCTCAAGTGATCCTCCTGTCTTGGCCTCCTAAAGTGCTGGGATTACAAGTGTGAGCCATCACATCCAGCCTATTAATTATCATTTTAATCTTTAGCAACTGATTATTAATTAGCATTCTGTAGATTAACACTATTTCATAATTTATAGAAATAGATGCTTTCTGAAGGTATTTTTTAAATTTATTAACAGACTCAAACATATTTAGATTTCCTATATCATATTAAAATCTAGATGTCAAAGCCATATAAACATAAACTGATGTTCAACAATTAATGTTTTAACATTTTATCTTATTTGAAATAATATAAATATATTTATAAATAATATTATTTATAATATCGAATAATAAATAATGAATATTCATCATTTAACTTAGCAAAACTCCAAATGTGTAAGTTACCAGTGAGATTGGAAAGCTATTTTTAAGTAGTTACATTGTAACACAAAACACGCTAGCTGCCATCAAGTTATTTTCCTGGTTACTACTTGTAACTATGCACATGTTAGATGTCATCACAGAAGCAAGAATCTAAGGAGTTAAATACATGACTTGTTTTTTCTTGTTTGAAAACTGTACTTGATATGCATGATACAATGAACACTGCATTTTCACTTACATCTTTATTCTTAGGTTAAGTTTATAGTTTGATGAGCCTTAAAAATATTTAATAGAAATAAAAGTTGTGGGTCTGTACTACATTTAATATTGAGAACTCTAAATACATGCCTGTTTTTATTATACCAATAATATTCTTATTAAGAATTGTTTATTCTATAAAGATTACCCATCATAAACATTGAGAAAATAATCTATACAAGCACTTATTTTAAAAAAAAATCAAAAACAGTGTTTTTTTAAATTTAGCAATATCAAAAGAAGAAAAAAATTATTATGCATATAAACATGTGTAAATATATAAACAAAAAGTAATCTTATAGCTTTTATTTTAAAAATTTAACCTGTTCCAGGTATAAAAATAAAAAACTCACTAATGTATTAAACAATAACTGGATCTCAATTGTTTTTGTGCCCAAGTCAACAAGATGTCCTGTCAATATGGTTAAAGCTTTTGACTAGTATTTCTGAAAAAGACTTCTAGGATTTTTTAATTTGCCTTCTGTAGAATATCTTTTGATTCACGTTATCTTTTAAATGACTCTGCATAGCAACTAAAGTATGCATTCCATTGCTTTTCTTCCATTTTGGACCCTTTCTTTTCTAATGCACTTCACCAGTAAGAAGTTTATCTCGGTTAAAACTTCACCACTGTGGCCACTGTAGTTCCAAGTTGTTCTTGGTAAGGTTAACCTATTTTTCAAAAGATGAATAGGATCTGGGCCCACAGTATTTGCACACAATTTTAGCAGGTATCCCAGGGGTTGTAGTCCTGAAGTCCTGGTGTCCCTGACTGCTGATAGTTGCAGGAAATCACTTGTATAAGGTATCTTTCTGAGGCTTCTAACTGATCCAATCCAGTAAGTTATCAGATACAATCTGATCCTGCATCTGGTCCAGTAATAATTGTTCAACTAAAGTCAGAGAGCTCAAAACACAAATTCATGGAGTTCTAATCTGAGAGAGAATTCAGCCAAGAACCCAGTTGCTATAAGAGGTCAGTGAACACAATGGGCCTGGCTAGGTACCTTTGCTTTTCCACTCAGTGCTCCTGAGTATCAGTGAAGGTCTACTTCATTCAACTTCTGATGCCAAATTATTAAATAAAAAACTTTAGACAAATTAAATTTAGTAGAGTTTATTTGAGAAAAGAACAATTTATGAATTGGACAGCACTTAAAAACCAAGAGAGGTTCAAGGAGCTCCAAGTAGCAACAAAGGAAGACCATATGTATAGATAGAAAAAGACAGAAAAAGGGTGTCTGTATTTATAGATGTAGGGGAACAGCTTGATTGGTAATAGCTTGGCATTTTCCTTGTTTAGATATGGTGAGATGAGTCATTCACTTTAGATGGACATGATCTTCTTGGTTGGCATTCTGTGATTGGCTAAAGCTTGGCTGCTAAGATTACTTGAGAGTTGGCTACTTATTTTAGAATATAGTCTTAATTTGTGTTGCAGTTTGCCTACCTACTACGTTAGGTTGCAGTTCTGCACATAGAAACTCAAAGTAAAGAGGCAGCCTTATGACAAATTAATTCAATTTAATGGTATAAGAAATCCCTGAATTAATGTTAAAATTGAATTAATAATAATGAGTAAGAAAGAAATAACTCCCAAAGAGATCAAGCAGAAATATAACTTTTAGATATGAATATATAATAATTGAAACTTGAATCTTATTGGACATTTAACAGAATATGTTAGATATAATTGCAGATACTTAGTAAACTAAAGTTCTCAAAAATTATAAAAGCTACAGCAAACACTGCTATTTAAAGTTTCGAAATATAAAGAATACATTTTTACAACACAACATTTATCTTAAAATTATTGCAAATGGAGAGACTAGACAGAATGAGGAAAATAAGTATATTATGCAGAATTTATGCATATAACTCTCAATATCAAGTTCCAGAAATGATTATACGTGCACACACACACACACACACACACACACACACACACACACCTCTAGGCATATCATAAAGGGATTTCAAATATAAAAGACAACAACAACAAAACAAAAGCAAAGCAAAGCAAAAATTACAAAAGTTAGATTGTTAGCTGATATCTTAATAGCAAGACTAAAATCAAATACAATATAACTGTTTATTTGAAGTGCTGGGAAAAATAAAGCATGCTATTTACTTGTGGTTTTATACGAAGGTAAATAGAGTTCAAAAATGAGGGCTATTCTTTGTTGGATGAATGACATTCTACTTCCAGTATGTTTTTAAGCATATTATACTCATCCTGTGCAACAATGAAGAATTATAAAGTCTTTTTCAAATGAATGAGGCTTTGTTCATGTTCAAAAACATATGAAGAAAATATTTAAGAGTCTTATTCGGAACGGGAAGTATCAAATATAAGGCATTTCCTGCCAGGCTAAGGTGTTACTTTGAGAAAAATTATGTTACTTCTACTTTTATTTGAACATAGCTTTTCTATGTTTATGTGAATAAACATTGGTTTTCCCTGCGATTACAGAGTGTGGAATAACTATGCATATCTATAGATATATGTTTCATGTGCAAGATGATAATGTGTGTGTATATATATGCTTTGTAATGTGTATATATATATATACACTATAATATATACATACTGTTATATATATATAAAACACACATATTTATATAAATATATGTATTTATTTAAATTAAGGTAGTAAGACTCCATATTAAGACATGGGTCATTGTTGTTTCTAAAATTACTGCCTTCTAAAGCCTTTCTATATTCATACGTATTGTCTATTGATACATGTGTCATCCTGTTAGGAGTGCTTACTTGAAGCCTAGCCAATATTTAAATAATTTATAAGTGTTATTGTTAACGGTTATTTTTCCATTCTTGTACATCTTGCTATAAGAGGTCAGTGAATGCAGTGGGCCTGGCTAGGTACCTTTGCTTTTTCACTCAGTGCTCCTGAGTATCAGTGAAGGTCTACTTCATTCAACTTCTGATGCCAAATTGTTAAATAAAAAACTTTAGACAAATTAAATTTAGTAGAGTTTATTTGAGAAAAGAACAATTTATGAATTGGGCAGCACTTAAAACCAAGAGAGGTTCAAGGAGCTTCAACTAGCAACTAGCTTATGCAGTTGCAATTTGGTAATGTTTCAAAAGGAAGACAGAAAGAAAGAAGAAAGGAAGGAAAGTACAAAAGACATAGAGATGAAAATAAAGGTAGAAACGTAAGAAACAAATCATGTTTCTGTGTTTGAAGTGGTGAGATATTATAAATTATTTGATAATTTGACATATAAAGAAGAATTTGTCAATAGGCTATTTTGAAATACTGAATATTTATGTTACATTGAAAACAATATTTTTAAGGCTACAATTTATATATATATAAAGATATTTCAAATAAAAAATAATAAATACATAACAAAGAAAGGAAGGAAGATAGGAAATAAAAGAAAGTATAGAAGAAAAAAATGGAAGAATAAATTGATATATGTGACATGAATTATATATTATAATTTCATTTTAATATAGCTCTGTATAAAAAACATATGTAGTGTTTAAAAGGCATATGTTTAGAGTAGATGATGTCTTCCATGATGTCTACCAATCATAAGCCAGATGACAGTCAAGAATAGCTGTTAGTACTTGTTTATTTATCAACATCAAAAAATGCCAGCAAAACAAACAACATTCAGAATGGATACGAGCAGCTGTGGATGCTGTGTGGAGTTGGTGGGAGTGGGGTGAAGAGGAGAAAAAGAGAGAGAAAGAAATTAGTTTCTAGTTGGCTGCATCTGTTACAACCTTTCCAGCCCATGCAGCAGACATGTGAATGAGCAAGACATCTTGCACATCAGGCTCAATTCTGACTCCAGGGGACTTGAGCTCCAGATGCCTTTAGCCTGCGAGCCTTTGAGAAACCCCAGGAGAGAACTGTCCAGCTGTGAATAGTCAATTATTAAAGATACTATGTTCTGTGACAATTTGTTACATGGCATTAGACATTGAGAACAATCTGAAGGCATGCCTGAGGTTAGAAAACTGTAATTAATAGTGGAATCAGTCAGAATAATTTTATGCTTTTCTTGGTAGTGATGATCAACATGGGACAAAGAAAACAGAAAGTAAGATATACCCTACATGTACAAATTTGCAAAAAAAAAAAAAACCAAAACAAAACAAAATAACAGTACTAAGGAAAAATGGCTCCGAAAGAAATTTTAAAGGAGGCTAATGTACTTAGGTTTTTTCAATGAAACTCATTCATTTTATTATTCAAGGTAACAGGCAATTAAAAAGTACGTAGATTATCTAAAGTATTTGAAATATATAATTATGAATTGAAAATAAAGCTAGAAAATTTTAAAATAACTGTTCTCTACATATATGTGTGTGTGTGCGCACGTGCGTGCATATATTGTGTGTGTGTGTATATATATATATGTAACCCTGAAGATATTTATTGAACTCTTACCCTGGAGCAGCCATAAGTTGTTCCCTAGGCCAGCAAAACTTGAAATTTTGAAACCTAGTCCACAAATATCTATCTATTTAAATAGTAAGTTAAAATGAAATTTTTCTAAGTGCATCCTTAGACGCTTCTTTCTTTCATATTGTGGGTCAAAACAAAGTTGTCACAACTGAGGATGTACGTTATTTCCTTTATCCATGTCCTTCTAATGTACATAGATATAAACACACACACGCACACATTTTTAAGGGCAGTGTCTTTATAATTCCCTGTGTATTTTATTAATCACAGTAAAATTATTTACTTTTTAACAAAACATGATTTTTTTCCAAAAATTATTTTTCTATGTTTATTTTCCTGCTTCAAAATGATAGTTGCCATTATTAGTTTCCTAGTCTTGCCAAAACAAATAACAAACGTGGTGGCTTGACACACAAAAACACTTGCTTTTTCACAGTTCTGGAGCCTCGAAGCCCCAAATCAGTCAACAGAGTCATGTTCCTTCTGAAGGCTCTAGAGGATACTCTATCTTTGCCTGTTGCTAGCTTCTGATGGTTGCCAGCAATCCTTGTCATTGTTTGAGCTGTAGCTTTATCTCTTCAGTATCTGTTTGTGTCTTCAGATGAGCTTCTTTCCTGTGTTTCAATGAATCTCCACATTTCCTTCTCCTTTTATAATCACTAGTCATTGGATTTAGGACTTAACTCTATTATTCCCTCTTAATGTAAATACATCTGCAAAGACCATCTTTCCAAATAAGGTCATATTCACAGGAACCAGAGATTAAGACTTCAACATATACTGCTGGGGGATAGTTTTCAACACACTGAAATTGATGACAGTGATATAAATACATGTAAAAAAAGAGTTGTCACAAATATTTTAAATCATGTAAAAAACCCCAAAATATCTAAAAATTTTAAATAGCATGGTAGTCTTATATATGATGGCATATAAATAATGTTGAATAAACAAAAAATAACATTCAAACAGTTATTCCAGGTATCTTTAAAAAACATCAAACAGAAGAAAGTACTTATATGGATTTATATGTAAAATATAATCAGATATTTAAAAAATCTATTTGGTAATTGAATTGAATTCTATTCTGTATATGAGAGTAATACTCGACTTTCCAAAAGCCACCATGGAAATGCAGCAATTACTTAAAAAACATAATTTCCTGATTATAAAAAATAAAATAAATGGAGCAGCATCATGGCCCATTTTTGGTGTCACAGTTTATCCTACATGAAAGCTGTTACCAGAAACCTAGAGGGAAAGTTTAGAAACAGTGAGTGCATAAAATCACAGTTTTTACATACAGTGATTTTAAAGAAGAGATAGTTTTGTGTCTTGACTGAGCATTTTGTTGTGCAAACTGAGCTGTTTACAAAAGGAAAGGAATCGAAACCATGATTCAACTGAGTCATCCAACCTTGCCCATTGTAGCATCATTAAGAAAAAAAGACACTCTTTTTTTTTTTCTGGAAGTTTAAACATTATTATAAAGTAAAATTATAGATAAGTAGGTGTAGTTTCATCATCAAGTCTCCAGTGTATGAAGAGGAAAGGCACAACCTCTTTGTGACATTAGCAGGATCCACAAATCTATCACAGGAAGGTTTTCAAAGAAATCATTTCCTTTCTAAATGTATTAAAATACTGGTAAAGCAATGGGCAGGCTTGCTTCTGTAACATAAGGCATTTTATTTTTAACATATTTATTTTTCAATCTTTTTTTTTTAATTCAGTGATAACTTTTCCTGCCCCAACCCTCGTTGTTGCACCATCTTCACCCTTTATTACTCTCTCCACATAATACATGCAACCATTTATGCTGCCGAAGCACTTAGAGATAATGTGGGATATTATATTGCATGTGGATAGCAATTCCCCTAGATTTAAAACATTTTATTTTGGAAAAAATACATGCTGGACACATTTCCCCACCTTTTATCCTCTGTTGAGTGTCTGCTGTTGACTCTGCCCAGCAATTTTCTGTTACTCTGAAAGCAGAAGTATCTCTTTTAAGAACATCAACTTCCCTTTCCAACCCACCTCCCTATTACACCTCTAATGTTCTGCCAGTGGCTTCACAATGTATGACTATGGATCTCTGTCTACAGTTGATTGTTCCAGGAGTAGATAATAAAGGCATTGCTTTCTAACAACTACTCATGCCTGTGTTCAGAAATAGATGAAAAGAGCTTGTCTAAATTGAAAGCAAACAAACAAACAAGCCAAAAAAAAAAAAAAAAACAAAAAACGCTCACATAGACAAGGATGCAGGATTGAAAAGGAGATGACTGGCAACATTGCTGGTCTCATTGGTTTCAGAAGTCTAAGCACACCTTCTTTACTCATAATTAAATGAACCTTATTTTATTCTTTGCCTAAGGTCTTTCGTGATGATTTTCTGTCTGTGTGTCTTTCTGTCACTTTCTCATCTCTATTTTTCTTACAAAAAAGACAGGAAAATTTATCTGGAAAATAATAAAAAAAGGCAAACTAAATCATTATTAATATTTTTCCTTATTGGGGCAAGGGATTAAGGCATTTCTAAACTATTGTTAAACTTAATATGCATCAGGCACAAGAAATAATAAGAAGGATTTATGAGTAATTAATTTTATTAGAATTTGTTTCCTATTATCATCTGTTTCCAAAAGCAAGTCAATGATAAGTCATTACACCTTATTTCATAGTATACACATTATTTTGGTGGATTGATGATGGGTTTTAACATTATAAAACAGGAAAATAAATAATAAATCATAAATTGTTGATTATTTATTTGGTTTTTATAAGTATATATTCCGTATTTTCTAACCAAGAAACTTGTAGAAAATATCCCTAATTTTAGATAATTTTATAATTTGTTTATATTTTTATTTGCTTCATTCATTAGCACATAATTATTTAATGCTTATTTTAGAAGAAAGCCAGATAAATCAATACTTTGATTTTTCTCTCCTCCTCTTTTCTGATGTCCATCTGTGAGTATCAAATGGCTAATCCCAATTTGAAGTCAAAAGGCATGAGAACACATTGATACAGTTCATACTATCAGTCTTTCAGGGAAGAGAGCAGGATCAAGGAGAGTGCAGAGTGGACATGGTAAGTCAGATAGCACATGTATGCATGTGTAACAAACCTGTACGTTGTGCACATGTACCCTAGAACTTAAAGTATAATTACAAAAAAAAAGAAAGAAAATACCTGACACAATTCTTGTCTTGTTTCTTATCATCTACTCTATCTTTATTTCAGATTAAATATAGTGTTTTCCTAATGAGAAGGATTCACAAAGATCCGTTATCATCCATTTTATTTTATCATTGATAGGTGGCTTACAATCAAGTCTTGCTCCAAACTAAAACCTAACATAGTAGTCATTACCAGTGTTCTTCAGATCACATTTCAGAAAGAGAGGTAGTGGTGGTGAGGATAATTAATTTACGTAAATCATAGATGTTACAGCCCCCAGACTAAATCTTGTCACGACCTTACATTGGTAATCACAACATACTCCTTCTACCAACTTTTCACAGTCTCCTGCCCTCTGGTAGCACACTAGCTACAAGGGGTGAAACCCAGTCATTTATTGCTTCAGGGTAGGCAGACCTTTATTAAGTTATCCTATTTTTTATTGCTCTGCATTATTGTAGAACTTAAGAGAAAGCCCAAAGAAAATTTTTGTTTCCAAATATATTCCTCCCTGTTCCAATTGTATTTAAGCATAACAACATGATTAAAGGGAATTAATCACTCCATATGCCTCCTTATCTG